>NC_000023.11:147808939-148111969 GCF_000001405.40 Homo sapiens | reverse complement strand
GGTAATTTTTTCCTTATCCAGTCCTGAGGGTAGAAAAGATATAGGAAGAAATAAATCCCCCATATGAATCTGAGGAAATTTCAACAAAGTTGCTTGCTTACAAAGATCCTTGGTAGCTGCATGTCCAATATCTGGCTGGACATCTTCCACCTAGATGTTCCACCAGTACCACCCCTGTCAAATTCTTTCTTCCCAAACCTGCTCCTTCTATTGTGTTCCCTCTTTGGGTTAATGAAGGAGGGATAGTCTGACTAGATCCTGTAGAAAGAGGAGATATTAAATAAAAGTATTGCAGTAATGGTCTGGAAACAGCCACAGAATGCCAACAGAATGGTAGCTCCTCCCTGGGGTCCCTTAGAGGCTGAGGACATGGGATATTGAGCATGTTCCATTTGAGAGAGCCACAAAAAAAGGCTGCCCTCAAAAATCCAACCTTCAATGAAGGCAAGGAAATGTTGAAGGTGGTTGGGAAAAGTATTGAGATGATAAAAAAACTGCGTAAGAATGAAATGGGAGTTCCCAAAAAGCAAAAAGGAAGGGCTGAAAAGAAAGGGAGAGGGCCCGGGCCCAGTGGCTCACGCCTGTAATCCCAGCACTTTGGGAGGCCGAAGCAGGCAGATCACGAAGTCAAGAGATCGAGACCATCCTGGCCAACACGGTGAAACCCCATCTCTACTAAAACTACAGAAATTAGCTGGGCATGGTGGTGCATGCCTGTAGTCCCAGCTACTTGGGAGGCTGAGGCAGGAGAATCGCTTGAACCCGGGAGGCAGAGTTTGCAGTGAGCCGACATCACGCCACTGCACTCCAGCCTGGCAACAGAGTGAGACTCTGTCTCAAAAAAAATAAAAAATAAAAAAGGGAGAGGAAGAAAGGATTAGCCAGGGTGAGACTACTGAACAGAGGAGCTGACAGAAGAGGTTTGGTTTCCAAAAGGGGATTGTAATTCCCAGACTGTGAGGTGCCTGAGAGAGGATTATCTCTTATCTCCCGGAGTCTACACAACAGCCAATGGTAGGCACCCAGTGGTATATGAGTAGATGTTGAACAACTAGTTCCCCAAAAGAAAGGAAAGTAAGTTCTGATTTGTAGTGTTTGCTGGTTTTATGGTGTAAATATTTCCACCATGACTGATTTCAAGTTAGCAACTTTATTTCACTTAACACAGAGCTGGGAAGAGATGTGCATAATGAGTTCTTGCAAGAAGGTATGAGCTAGCTCCAGCACACCGTTGGTGCTCATGAAAAATTTCTTAGATTCACAAAATGATCTTAAGTCTGGAATTGGAAGACAAACAAGAGGAATGCCATTTCCTCTAATCAACACATGTTTATCTGTAAGATTAATCACGTACATCAAACAAAAGCAGATTGGATTTGGATATGGTTCATGATACCTGAACTCTGAAAGAATAAATATGAATATTCTCTCCCCTTTATACTCTTGTCTTTCTCATATATTTTGTATTCTCTCAAGTACAGAAGGGCAGGACTCTACAAGGTGTAGTGCCTTGTCTATGCAGCTGTTGTATTTTCATCCCTGGTCACTAATAGGTGGGGCATAAGTGCCATCCTCATCTTCTGCCTTCAAATAGATTGAAACATGATCTTGACATTTTGCCCAGCCTCAGTTCTCCAGCATTAAAATGGCTATTTTATTAGTCTGTGCAACTACTTGTAACAAAATTTTTTGTGATTTTTCTTCAGGCTAGCAGTTACCACAGAGCATGTGTGTTAGAAGCCGTGACAAGAGGAGGCTCATGCAGGAGAATGGTCATTGACCTAGTGCAAGCACTCAAGGAGAGGCTGGGAAACCAGGCTGCTAGAGGCAAGATGCAGGGCAGAAGGCTGATACTCCAAGAGACTGAAAAATAGCCAAGAGAAATAATGGAGCTGGATAAGAAGTCAAAGTCCTTCTGTGGCAGGGGCCCTTTATCTATTTCCTGCCAAAGGTAGGAATCACAATGTAGTGGGTCCTGCAGCCAGACGCAGGAGATGGGGCCAGAGTAGGGAGGAGGAGATCAGTGTAACACCACTAAGGTGACACGAAATGTTTTCATATCTGCTTCCAGAGACTACAAAGAGCTCTCCGTTAAGCTGGTAAGCAGTGGTGCTCCTTTGTATCTGTCCACATTCCACTTGCTACTTCTCATCTATTCTTTTCACTAAACCATGTCGAAACTTTTGCTCTGTGAAAGACAGTGTTAAGAGGATGAAAATCAGCTTAACAACTGGGAGAAAATACTTGCAAAACCCATATCTGAAAAAGATAATCACTTTAATAGCAGAGTCCTTGAACTCTTATCTTAGTCTCCACTGGATTGACATATAAATTTACTACGAATGATGCCATCTTATATAACTGTACTACCAAATCAAAACCAGGAGATTTAAATTGGTACAGCACTGGTAAATAGACTCCATACCTTAAACAGAGTATATAAAGGACTCTCAAAAGTAAAAAGAAAATGATATAACTAGAAATTGTGCAAAAGACATGAATAGACATTTTGCCAAAGAGAAGCTATGATGACAAATAAGCACATGAAGATATGCTCAATATTAGCCATCAGGAAAATACACACTGAAACTATGAGACATCATTAACTACCTATCAGAATGGCCAAAATAAAAGTAGTGACATCACCAAATGCTTGAGAGAACGTGGAAGTGGAATCATTCATACATTGCTGGTGGGAAAGTAAAATGATACAGCCACTCCAGAAGAGTATGACAAAACTACGTAATCACTTACCACACAACCCAGCAATTGCACTCTTGGGCATTTATCTCAGAGAAATAAAAACTTACATCCACATAAAAACCTGTACATGAATTTTCATGGCAGCTTTATTCATAGTACTTGAAAACTGAAAGCAACTAAAATATCCCTGGTACAAACTCTGGTACATTTCTGCAATGGAATACTACCCAGCAACAAAAAGGAGTGAAATTTTTGATACATGCATCAATTTGAATGGTACTCAGGTGCATCATTCTGAGTGAATAAAAAGTAAATTTCAAAAGATTACATACTATATGATTGCATTTATATAATATCTTTTAAATGACAAAACCATAAAAATGGAGAACAGACTAGTGGTTGCCAGGGGACAGAGACTAGGGTAGGAGATGGATGTGAATATAAAGGGGTAGCACAGGGGAGTTCCTTTGTGGAGACAGAACAGTTTTGTGTCATGATTGTGATGGTGATTGCACAAATTTATGGATGAATCAAATGGCCTAGAGCTAGACATGTGTGTACACGTACATGCACACACACACACACATAGTGTATATAAAAACTGGTGAAATACAAATAAGGTCTGTAGTTCAATTGTACTGCACTAATATCAGTTTCTTAGCTCTGCTATTGTACTACAGTTGTCTCAGATTGCACCATTGCGGAGATTGGATGAAGGGCTCAAGAGATTCTATTACTACCGTTCCAACATGCCATAAATCTATAATTAATTCAACATGAAGAATTAGGAAAAAATACTGCCCAGAAAAGATACCAAAGTAAGCATGTTTGTATACTGCTGTGAAAGGGAGATTGTTGCTATAATTAGGCCACATACATCAAGATTCCCAAAATAATTCTTACTCTTTAATCCTGTAGGAACGTATCTTTGGGAGTTAATCAGATATTTGTTTAAAATGCATGTGCAAAAATGTTCACACCATACTAGCAATGAGTTAGAAATAATCTGACTATTTAACAGTGGAGTTATGCCTAAGCTTTATCCCTATGGTGGATTATCATGCAGCCAATAAAAACTATGATTTTGAAAAATATTGCCAGTGTGGTGGCTCACGCCTGTATTCCCATCACTTTGGGAGACCAAGGCAGGCAGATCACCTGAGGTCGGGAGTTCGAGACCAGCCTGACCAACATGGAAAAACCCCATCTCTACTAAAAATACAAAATTAGCCGGGCGTGGTGGTGCATGCCTGTAATGCTAGCTACTCGGGAGGATGAGGCGGGAGAATCACTTGAACCCAGGAGGCACAGGTTGCGGTGAGCTGTGATTATCACATTGCACTCCAGCCTGGGCAACAAAAGCAAAACTCCGTCTCAAAAAAAAAAAAATTTAGTATGTGTGGAAATGTCAGGTAATAATCTGGATATACAAAAATACATATACTATAATGCCAAAGTAAAAAAATGAAATCCTGAATAAAATTCTAGAAAAAATCCATAATATTCACAAGTGGTTATATTCTATGTTATAATATATCATATATTAGAATATATAATATATGCAATGTATCTCTAGGTGATTGGAATTTATATAATTTTTATTTCTTTGAACTTTACTAAAATTTCCAAATATTACACAATGAACATCCATTACTTTGCAAGAAAAAAATATGTATGTGTATATACATACATATATACGATATATACATATTATATATAAAGTATACTTTATATTAATACATACATATATACATATTATATATAACGTATACTTAATGTATACTTAATATTAAGTATACATTATATATGTATTAATATATTATATTTATATGTTAAGTATATATACATATTATATACATATACTTAAGTATGATCTAGCTTAGTATTTCTCAGACTTTCATGGGCTCTGATTAAAATGCAGATCGGGATTCAGAAGATCTGCAGCAGGGCCTGAGATTCTGCATTTCTAACAAGCCCCCACACTATTCTGATGTTGCAGGGTTCTAGCTTAGCCAAGCCCAAAATGCTTATGAAACAATTCTGAATAAAAAATAAACATTGTACCATTTACAACCATTTTATGGAGATATGTTGTAGGAAATTGACATTATGAAGGCCTCATCACAAACCTGTACCCACACCAGATTCAGATGCATCTGCTCCGACAAACAGCAGCAGCAACATTTGAAAAAATTATCAGATTCTCAAAACTGACTAAGAAGCTAGGGCCTCTTTTCAATTAACCAAAAACTTTTCTTTGATAAATTGTGTAGGGAAAGTGCTTCATGTAGCAGAACTAGAGTCTCATTCCAAAACAAATTCCAAGTGGATCAAAGAGGCAATTGTAATATACATATGGGAAATACAGATGAGTATTTTCTGCTGAATGAAAAAGAATCCCTATAGATAAGTGCAGTAAAGGAATAATAACTAACACTGAGCACTTACTGCATCCCAGGTACTATGTTAACTTTTTTATATGCATTATCTCATTTAATCTTCATATCAAAGTTATCAAGTAGAAATTATTATTTTCCTCATGTTACCAATGAAGACATTATTTCTAGTCCTCACAAACAATAATGTAGGTATCATTATCCACATTTTGCAGGCAATAAAACTTAGTCATAGAGAGAGAAGATAAGTGGCTCAGGGTCCCCCTGTTAGCATTTGACAGAGTCCAGTTTCCACCTGAAAGTGACACTCCTCACTGCACTGCCTCTTTGAGAGAAAGAGCTACACATTGGCTGCATGCAAATCTAACACTCCTGAATGCTGAAAATCATAAATAAAATGTAAAAAGCAAATAATAAACTAGAGAACTATTAGTAATAAGTGTGGCAAAAGATTATTACCCCAATACATAAAGAGCTAATACAAATTGAAAGGAAAATGCTATGACCCTAATGGAAAAATAGATTAAGGACAGGTACAGCAATTCATGAAAGAGAAAATGTGTGTTTCTGTGTGTTTGTGTGCATACGTGTGTGTGTGATATAGATACATTATACTAAAATGAAATTGGCCAAGGCATTAGTGAGTATCTCCTAGTGGTTAAAATATTAAATTATTATTAATTTATTTGAGACAGAGTCTAGCTCTGTCACCCAGGCTGGAGTGCAGTGGCACAATCTTGGCTCACTGCAACCTCCGCTCTGGGATTCAAGTGATTCTCCTGCCTCAGCCTCCCAAGTAGCTGAGGCTACCGGCATGTGCCACCACACCTGGCTAATTTTTGTATTTTCAGTAGAGACATAGTCTCACCATGTTGGCCAGGCTGGTCTCAAACTCCCGGCCTCAAGGGATCCACCCACCTTGGCCTCCCAAAGTGCTGGTATTACAGGTGTAAGCCACTGTGTGCAGCCAAAATATTAAATTATTTATGCATAGTTTTATGCTTTTTGTGTTTTTCACATTGCCTGCAATGAGTATATATTACTTTTATAATACATAAAAAATGAAACCTAGTTATCTTGGCCACAGACAACCTTGGTATCATTGTAATTCCTAATCCCATGCTCCATTGTCCTCTGCAAGTTCTCATTGCATTTGACAAGTTTCTCTGGGACAATATTTGTTCATCAATTCATTAATTTATTTGTTGATCTAGTAAACATTTATTGAGCACACAGTAGTGTATAGGTAGGCAATAAATAAGTAACATATGCAGACATGGGCTTTGCACACATAAAGCTATGTTAGATAAAGTGTATTAATCCATTCTCGCATTACCGTAAAGAACTACCTGAGATTGGGTAATTTATGAAGAAAAGAGGTTTAATTGGCTCATGGTTCCACAGGCTGTACAGGAAGCATGGCTGGGGAGGTCTCAGGAAACTTACAATCATAGCGGAAGGCGAAGAGGAAAGAGGCACGTGTTACATGACCAGTGCAGGAGGAATAGAGCAAAGGGGGAGGTGCTACACAGTTTCAAACAACCAGATGTCATGAGAACTCACTATCACAAGAATAGCAAGGTGGAAATCTGCCCCCATGATCCAATCACCTCCCACCAGGCCCCTCCTCCAACACTGGGGATTACAATTCAACATGAGATTTGGGCGGGGACACAAATCCAAACCATATCACACAGCTTAAACAAATTGCATGATTAATTCATCACTGATGGTGCCTAAGATTCCCTGATCCATTACAGATGGTTATCTGTACTCTGCTTGGGCCTATCATCACTACATCTATATAGGCTGTGTTAAATATCCACAACATACTGAATTATCTATCTACCAGTCTTTAGTAAGAGGGTGATGTCTTATGGGAAAAAAGAGCAAGGCATTTAACACAGATACTGTCTCCAGTTACTTTTTTTCATTGAATTCTTATTGATATAATTGTAGACTCACATGCAGTTGTAATAAACAATACAGAGAAATTTCATGTATCTTTTGCCCAGTTTCCCCCAATGGTAATGTTTTGCAAAACTATGGCAAAATGTTACAGCCAGGATATTGATATTAATACAATCCAGCTATCTATATTTACCCAGTTTTACTTGTACTCATTTGTGCTAGTGTGCACTTGTGTGTATTTAGTTCTATGCATTTTTATCACCTTGTAGGTTTATGTGACTACCACTACAATCAAGATATAGAACAGTTCCATAACCCAAGGATCTTTTGTTCTGTCCATTTCTAAACATACCCATTTTTCTCCTTCATCCCCTTCCCCCACACCTCCATCCCTAACCCCTAGCAGCCACGAAGCTGTTCTTCAGGATATATAAATGGGTAAAGACATAAAGAGACATTTCAGGAAATAAGGCTTATATATAACAAACACATAAAAAGGTATTCAAAATTATTTGCCACAAGGGAAATGCAAATTAAAACCATAATGAGATATCAGAATAGCCAAAATAAAAAATAGTGACAACACCAAATACTGGCAAGGGTGCGGAGAAGCTGGATCACTTATACAATTCACTGATGGTAGAAATGTAATATGATACAGCCACTCTGGAAAAAAGAGTGGCAGTGTCTTATAAGATTAAACATCCAGGTACCACATAGCCTAGCAATTGTACCCTTGGGAATTTACCCCAAAGAAGTGAAAATTTAAGTTCACACAAAAATCTGTTCATAGCAGCTTTACTTGTAATAGCCCAAAACTGAAAACCCCAGATATCCTTTAGTAAGTAAATGGATTTTAAAAACTATGGTCCATCCATACCATCGAATACTACTCAGCAATACACACATCTTGGATGAAACTTCAGGGCATTATGGTTAGTGAAAAAAAGCCAGTCCCAAAAGGTTATACAAAATATTATTCCACTTAGAAAACATTTTAAAAATGTAATACATCATAATTAGTTGTTTTTTTTTTCAGTTTGATTCTCCTCAGGCCCTTTGACAAAATCGGCTTCTTTAATCAATAATTTAGATTATTTTGGCAGTCTCTCACAGTGCCTTAGTTTCAAGCATAAGGAGTGTGCCAGATTTGGCTATCTAATCCAGCTTGCTGTGATCTATATACAGTGTAATTGTAACATATAGTTGCAAAGGGCAGAGATAATGCTGAATAAATATTTCCAATTTACAGAAGTAACTGAGGTTCACAGAGGTTGAAACTTTTGCCAAGAGGACTGGAGTTCCTAGTGCAGAGCCAGGATCAAGACCATGAGATGTCCTCACTCTCTGCCCAGAGTTCTCCACTGTTTCACTCCACCACTTCTCATTGGGTGTGGTGCCATTGTTTTCACTGCTTTCCTCACATTACCAAAGACATTTCCTTACTTTTTCACAGAAGCCTCTGCTACTGACAATTAAGAACCCTGCTGGAGATGCCAATTAAAAAAAATACTTAAAGTATAGCCTCGTTCACTGTGCTTAGTTAGCCAAGGTGATAATGATAATAATCATGATGATAATGATGATTATCACAATGATGGCCACAAGAACAGCTAACATTTATGGGGGCTTACTATGTGCCAGGCACTATTCAAAATGCTTCACATATATTAGCTCATTCAATCCTCAACTGTATGAAGTGAATGCACGGAGTTTTCTCTTTATGGTGCTTTTTTCACTTTTATCTACATGCTATGTGGCACTGGTGTTCCCCACTGTGTAGGGACAAAAGGTTAGGAAAGGCTTCCTTGGGGTCATGAGGTTTTAATATAGTATTTGCTCCCACATCCTCTGAATCACCACATAAGACCTGTGTGTCTTCAAAAGGGAGTAGAAGTTCATGACAATTATAACCATACATTTGGATTGCTAATCCCCAGAAATCTGTATAAGGTAAATACATGAGGTGATTCCAGCTATTTCTATTCCTTCTTGGAGGGACAACTGTCTGGATATAAGGCAGGAGCACAGTGCTGTATTTGAGAGCCCAAGCTCTACCAGTTCTGAGTACGGGACCTTAGGCAAGACATTTATTCCTTCTGAGCCTCCGTTTCTCCAGCTGCATAACAGGGATAATGACACTCATCTTGGAGGATTGCTGAGAGAATTAGAAATAATGTGTGTAAAGGCTTGACACATCAAAGGCAGTAGCTAATATTGATATGATCCTCTTTGGTTGCTGGATAGCCACTAGTGTGCAGCCACTCATTCGTCAACACAAGTTGGTACCTTTTCTCCTCAGTATAAGACTTCTCACTGGAGAGTGCTCTTCCTTAAGAACACCAACTCCAAAGTTCCAGGAGATTATTTTTTAATTAATTAATTAATTAACTTTTTAGTTTCAGGGGTACATGTGCAGGTAGGTTCTATAGATAAATTCCATGTCATGGGGGTTTGGTGTACATATTATTTCATCACTCAGGTAACAACCATAATGTCCAATATGTGTTTACAATCCTCACCCTCCTCTCACTCTGCACCCTCAAGTAGACCCCAGTGTCTATTGTTCCTTTCTGTGTTTCCATGTTGTATTAGGCTGTTTTCACACTGTTATAAAGCACTGCCTGAGACTGCGCAATCTCCAAAGGAAAGAAGTTTAATTGACTCACAGTTCAGCATGACTGGGGAGGCATCAGGAAACTCATAATCATAGCAGAAGACAAAGGGGAAGCAAGGCACCTTCTTCACAAGGCAGAAGATCAAGAGAGTGAGGGTGCAACTGCCAGATGCTTACAAAACCATCAGATCTCATGAGAACTCACTCACTGTCACCAGAACAGCATGAGGGAAACCGCTCCCATGATCTAATTACCTCCACCTGGTCCTGCTTTTGACATGTGGGGATTATGGGGATTAGAATACAAGATAATATTTTAGTTGGGGACACAAGCAAACCATATCATTCTACCCCTGGCCCCTCCAAAATGTCTTGTCCTCACATTTTAAAACACAGTAGTGCCTTTCCAACAGTCCCCCAAAGTCTTAACTCATTCCAGCATTAACCCAAAAGTCCAAATCCAAAGTCTCATCTCAGACAAGGCAAGTCCCTTCCACCTATGAACCCGTAAAATCAAAAGCAAGTTAGTTACTTCCTAGATACAATGAGGGCCCAGGTATTGGGTAAATACACTCATTCCAAATGGGAGAAATTGGCCAAAATGAAGGGGCTACAGGCCCCGTGCAAGTCCAAAATCCAGAGAGGTAGTCAAATCTTAAAGCTCCAAAATGATCTCCTTTGACTCTACATCTCACATCCAAGTCACCCTCAGGAAAGAGGTGTGCTCCCACGGCCTTGGGCAGCTCCGCCCTGTGGCTTTGCAGGATATAGCCCTCCTCCCGGCTGCTTTCAGGGGCTGGCCTTGAGTGTCTGTGGCTTTTCCAGGCACACGGTGCAAGCTGTCTGTGGATCTACCATTCTGGGGTCTAGAGGATGGTAGCCCTCTTCTCACAGTTCCACTAGGCAGTGCCCCCCTGAGGACTCTGTATGGGCACTCTGACCCCACATTTCCCTCCCACACTGCCCTAGCAGAGGTTCTCCACAAGGGCTCTGCCCCTTCAGCAGACTTCTGCCTACACATCCAGCCATTTCTATACATCCTCTGAAATTTAGGAAGAGGTTTCCAAAGCTCAGTTCTTGTCTTCTGCACACGCTCAGGCCCAAAACCATGTGAAAGCTGCCAAGGCTCGAGGCTTGCACCCTCTGAAGCAATGGCCTGAACTGTACCTTGGCTCCTTTTAGCCATGGCTGGAGCCAGAGAGGTTGGGATGCAGAGCACCAGGTCCCAAGGCTGCTCTTGCACAGAGGAACAGAGCTCTGGGCCTGGCCCAGGAAACCATTTTCCTGCCCTGGGCCTCCAGGCCTGTGATGGGAGGGGCTGCCACAAAGGTCTCTGACATGACCTGGAGACATTTCCCCATTGTATTGACCATTAACATTTGGCTCCTCATTACTTATGCAAATTTCTGCAGCTGGCTTGAATTTCTCCCCAGAAAATGGGTTTTTCTTTTCTATCACATCATTAGGCTGCAAATTTTCCAAGCTTTTATGCTTGGCTTCCCTTTTAAACATAAGTTGCAATTCCAAACCATCTCTTTGTGAATGCATAAAACTGAATGCTTTTAAGAGCACCCAGGTAACTTCTTGAACACCTTGCTGTTTAGAAATTTATCCTGCCAGATACCTTAAATCATCTCTCTCAAGTTCAAAGTTCCACAGATCTCTAGGGCATAGGCAAAATGCTGCCAGTCCTTTTGCTTAAACAAAGCAAAAATCACCTTTCTTCCAGTTCCCAACAAGTTCCTCATCTCCATCCAAGATCACCTCCACCAAGACTTCGTTGTCCATATCACTACCAGCATATTGGTCAAAGCCACTCAACAACTCTAGGAAGTTCCAAACTTTCCCACGTCTTCCTGTCCTCTTCTGAGCCCTCCAAACTGTTCCAACCTCTGCCTGTTACCCAGTTCCGAAGTCTCTCCCACATTTTTGGGTATCTTTAAGGCAGTGCCCCACTACCTCAGTGTCAGTTTACTGTATTCATTCATTTTCACACTGTTATAAAGAACTGCCCAAGACTGGGTAATTTATAAACAAAAAGAGGTTTAATTGACTCACAGTTCAGCATGGCTGTGGAGGCCTCAGGAAACTCACAATCATGGCAGAAAGTGAAGGGGAAGCAAGGCACCTTCTTCACAAGCTGGCAGGAAGGAGAATGAACAAATAGGGGAAATGCCATATGCTTATAAAACCATCAGATCTTGTGAAAACTCACTCTCACAAGAACAGCATGGGGAAACCTCCCCCATGATCCAATTACCTCCACCTGATCCCACTCTTGACACACGGGAATTATGGGGATTACAATTCAAGATGAGATTTTGGGCAGTGATACAGGCAAACCATATCACATGTGCACTCATCATTTAGCTCCCACTTACAAGTGAAACCATCATTTTCTTTATGCAAGCCACTGTTGATTGGCATTTAGGTTGATTCCATGCCTTTACTATTGTGAATAGTACTGCTATGACCATACATATGCATTTGTCTTTATGGTAGAATGATTTATATTCCTTTGGGTATATACCCCATAATGAGATTTCTGGATTGAATGGTAGTTCTAAATTCTTCAAGAAATTTCCAAACTGCTTTCCACAGTGAGTGAACTAATTTATATTCTCACCTATTACAAACCAATAGCCAACATCATACTGAATGGGAAAAAGCTGGAAACATTCCCCTTGAGAACTGGGACAAGAGGATGTCCACTGTCACCACTCCTATTCATCATAGTACTGGAAGTCTTATCCAGAGCAATTAGGCAACAGGAGATTACTTTTTAAAAGCCCTACAATCCTGCTGCATCAGTTCCATGATGGTACTTGAAATATGCAAAGTTTATTGGAGAGGGCTGGATGTTGGGTACTTCTTTCTGCTTTGGCTGCATCATTTCCTTTCCACGTTCTATCTAGCCTGTTTTAGGCTGCTGTTGCTGCTCCTAGTCTTAAGCTGTTCCAGAAGACTCTACCATTGCCTCTTTCTGATCTTAAACTCTACCTTCTTCCACAGCATCCTTCTGAAGACTTTGCTATAGTTGTTTGTTCCTCACCTATATCTTCAGCATCAGTTGGTCCATCTTGACATTACTTCCTCAAATTCCCTTTCTTAATTTTAAAGAGATTCAGCCATGTTGCTGATTCATGTGACATTTGTTAAACTCCTACTTGGAGCCACATAATATTCCTAGCAGTGAGGACACAGTGGTGACCCAGGTGGGCAAAAACTATTCCCTCATGGAGCTGGTAGTCTATTCAGAAAATCTACCAAATTTATATTATTAATTTGGCTGAAATTTAAAGCAATAGTATATTGTTTATTATTCTGATAATATTCAACATTTGAGGGAAATATTATAATTTAGTGGTCAAAGCTAAAGCTTTACCTGACTCCCTAATTTCCACAGTCCTGCTGCATGCCAAACATATTCTGTCCTGTAGCTTCTGCCCTAATATCTGGAGTCAGTACCTTGAGAACCAAAAAGAGAAGATCTGAGAGCACACCTTCTACTTCAAAATCTCCTGCCAATGAGTCACTCATCACTTACCTTTCCCATCCCTACCTGGCCTGCTTCTTGCTCTGTTCTCTGACTCAGGCACCCTCAATTAGGTTCCTGCCACACCCCTTGCTCCTGTTTGTTAGCCTTTGCTGTTTCAGCCTTTCAACTCTTCCAGTCCCCCTTGCATAGGCTGACTTGTCCTAATTTGAAACCCTGCGGCCCTTCGGTTTTGTGTGAAGAGAGCTTACTCTTGACACTACTTGCTGACCCCCAACCCAGGGCCTTAAACCTTGGTTCCATTTCTGTAGCAGGCAGATCTTTTTTCCTTGTGAAGATCATCTTTTTGATAATGAACAGTACTCTGTAGATGCCAATTCCTCCCAGCTGCTAACTCTCCCTCTTGGTTCAAGAACATTCACCATGGGGACCTCTCCCGGCCACACTGGACTACTGCCCCAAACTCAATACCAGAAGGTCCACATGTCCGCATAAGCAACAATCACAGTATCATCAACTTATCCTTCCCTACATCCTCCTCTAGCCATTGAAATAACATTATTCCCCTCTCCTTCTTTCTTTTTTTCTCAAACTCCCACTTTCTCTCCACTTGAAATTAAACTTTCTAAATAAATTATCTATGTTTAGTTTCTTTTCATACCTACTTCCTAATCACCAGTTGAATGCAACCTGGAGTCTGCAGTTAGTCTTCCTCTAAGACTAGTATGTCCAAAGCCTCTAGCCATCTCCTTCCTGAAAAATCATTTGCATGCTTCACAGGACTTAATCAGACTTGACCTTCCTGCTACATTTGATTCTACTAACCACCCTTCTGGACATTTTCTCCTCACTTTGTTCCCATGGCACCACATTTCTCTTTCTTCCTATGTCTCTGACTTCTCTTTCTAATTCTTCATAGGGTTATCTTCTTCTACATTTCACTTTGCATCTGGAGTTCTCGTTCTTATTCTCAGCCCATTTTTCTTTGATTATACCATTACCCCTGGGCAGTCCCATACATTTCCATGGCTTCAGTTACATCTATATACCAGTGATTCCAAATCTCCACATATAGCTCAGATATCTCTCTTGAGATTCAGACATGTATTAATCAAACTAGGATAAGTTACTATTTGGTCTTAAAAATTCAAAACCTTATTGACTCAACAAAACAAAAGTTCACTTCCTACTTATTCTGTATATAAAATCTAAATCTGGGTAACACTCCAAGACACTGTCCTCCAGCAGTCAGGCTGATGGAAGTGCTAGTATCCTGTACTTATACCATATGGGACACTTAGCCTCTTTGGTCAATACAGCAGGGGAAGACAGACTGGAGAATTATACTGCTAAATAAATGCTTTAGCCCAGAGGTGACTTATATTATTTTCACTCACAGCAAATTGGCTAGAACAAGTCACAAGACCTCATCTAATTTCAAGTACAATCCTCCAATGTGCTCATAAGGTTAGAAGAGCCAGATATGAGTGAGCACTAGAAATCTCTATCAACATACCCAACAGTGTACTAGATATATCTATTTTGGTGTCTCAAAGACATACAAACTTGAATATGTCCAAAACAGAATTCTCATTTACAGCATTGCTCAAGTCTCATAATTACTTTCTCTGCCTCCAGCCTTGCCCTTCTCATATGCAGCCAAGATAATTTTCACCATGCATTCATAAAAATCTTTCTGAACCACAAATCTGATTGTGCCATTCCCATGCTTAAAACACTTCAGTGGCTCCCTGTTGTTTACAGCATACAATTTATGCTTACAGAATAAGATTCAGCAATGACATTAAGACCATTCATGATCTGGCCCTTATAACCTCTCCAGTCTCATCTCTTTCTACTTTCCTCATGGGTGGCTGATACCACCCATATCAGCCATTCCAAGCCCCTTATTTGACTAGACCACATTGTGTCACATGTCCACATTGTTGCACATGCTGGTATACCCTTTCCTGCCGATCCCTAGACCATCCTTCTTACCTGACTGACTTCGTACCTTTTAAAACTCAGTTCAACAATCTACTCCTTGATGAAGACTTCCCTAAAATCCTATGCTTACTTCATTTAGTGGTTGGCATGTTATGCTGTAATGGTTTACATATGCAACCCTATTAAAGCTGTGATTCCTGTAGCTCCAACACAAAGTAATGGAAAGCATAGTCAAACCACACAGAAATAATAGTATAAAAATTATATTATTTACTTTAGTCTCTCAAAAGACTTGAACTAGGATGCCATCAAAATTCTCAAGTTAGTGGTAAGGGAATATTCTTGGTTTCTATCTTTCTTTCCTCCCCACTTTTCTTGCCCTTCACACTCTATACCTCTCATTCACCAACCTCCCTCTCCCCTTGCTAGGGAACTCTGCCCTCTACCCGTGGCTTTTACTGTGTGTTTCTCGATTCTTCCCTCCTCCCAAAATTTTATCTGTAAATTGACTTTACACTTTTAGCTCAATAGACTAAGTCCTTCCCTTCTTTTCTCTTCAGTCTTGTCTTCCTTTTCCCATTCTCTGATTCTGTATCCCCAAATCATAGGAACTGTACTAACAGAAATAAACTGTCCTCGCTGGGCATGGTGGCTCACACCTGTAATCCCAGCTCTTAGGGGGGCAGAGGCAGAAGGATAGCTTGAGCTCAGGAGTTCAAGACCTGCCTGGGCAATATAGCAAGACCCCGTTCTCTACGAAAAGAAAAAAAAGAGAAATAAACTGTCCTCAAAAGACAGAGACAATTGGATTGGCATGTACAAGGCCTTCTCTGACTGGCTGGGGCAAAGGAAAAAATTGGGGAACACTCACTCCAATGTGTGTAATATTATTCCATCGCATTTATTTGTGAGCTCTTTAAGAGCCGTCACAAAGTCTTACCTTTTGCTTCTTGGGGACTAGCACATAATAGACACTCAATAAGTATGTGTTAAATGCATGGATGGATGGATGACTGAATAGAGATATTAGCAAATAAATCAACAAATGACAGATTCCTGGCTCCTGTTTACCTTTTCATTCCCTTCTCAGGTACTATACACTATATCTACTACAAGCCAGAAACTTTTAAAAATCAGTTTCTCATGACATGAATGTAAAAACCCAAAAATATATTTCAAACAGAAAAATGGTATGATTTTCCCTGAAGCCTCCATTGGGCCCTTTTACAACTTGTCATTACTGAGTGTCCACTGGGGAGATAGACAATTATAACACCTTCCTTTGATAGAAACTATTAAGCAACTTCTGGAAAAAGTCATATGAAGGCAAAGAACATTGAGTCCACAATTCAACTATTTATCACGATTGTCATACAATTTCCATATCCAAGGATGTATGCTTTGTAACATCAAGGATGCCAGGTCACAGAAGGCAGACTGATATGTGCTATAATTCAGTGATTAAAAGATTAAGTACAGACAAGTCAGGAAAGGCAGACAAGAGTAAATCAATCTATGCATGAAAAAAGTCAGTCCACAGTCATTGGAAGTAAGGACCTTAAGCTAGAAGATCTGTAATTTAGGCAAAATATCTGCACAATAATAAAACCATTCCATTTATTGAGAATTTAGCTCTGTATCTAGATCTGCACTGTCCAATATGGTAGCTAGTAGCTATATGTGGCTATTTAAGTGTAAATGTAAATTAAATTAAATTAAAAATTTAGCTCATTAGTTTCACTAGCCATATTTCAAGTGCTTAATAGCTACATGTGGTTGGTGGCTATATATTGGACAGAAGAGCCCTAGAGCATTTCCATTATTACAGAGAGTTCCATTGGACAGTGCTACTCTTAACCATGCTAGGCACTTTACCTAATTCAGTTCTTAAGGCACCTATATGAAGTAGGCACTATTGTGAGCCCCATTTTACAGATGAGGACACTGAGATTAAGACAGTGAAGAGCTTGACAAAAGCCACACAGTCTGAGAATGCCAGAAATGAGAATTCAGCCAGGTCTATCCAATACTTTTCAGGCAATGACACTACGTGCACATCTTTCTGTAGCTGTAACTGACTTCAGAGCATAGATTTGCCTGAGTTCACAAGTAAAGAAAAAAAATAGGTGTTTGTTTGTTTGTTTCAAGATGGCCTACTAGATGCAGCCAGGAAGTGCTGCTCCTGCTGAGAGAGAGACCGGGTTTTTGACTAAACCAACATAATTTGAAGAGATCTTCAGAGAGAAAATGCCAAATGTGGATGGAAAAAAGACTCAGATACAGAGGCTAAAGAGGGTGGAAGCTGGAAACTCCACATGGAGCACCTGAACACTGGGGCTGGTTTCTAGCCCTGAATGGCTCTTGAGGAAGGAATGTGTGAAGGGACTGGGGGAATGACTGCTCTTGCCATGGACCTCTGGGATCCTAGCTGCAGGGAACCCCACACCAACCACAGACATTTGAGCTGGCAGGGGGATTTCCTTGGGGCTTAGGCAGAGACAGGGCTTTAGCAGTGATTTGGTTTGGCTGTGCCCCCACCCAAATCTCATCTTTAAGTATAGTGCCCATAGTCTCCGCATGTCATAGGAGGGACCCAGTGGGAGATAACTGAATCATAGGGGCGGTTACCTCCATTTTGTTCTCGTGATAGTGAGTGAGTTCTCACGAGATCTGATGGTTTTATAAGGGACTTTTCCCCCTTTGCTCGGCACTTCTTCTTCTTGCCACCATATGAAGAAGAATGTGTTTGCTTCCCCTTCCACCATGACTGTAAGTTCCCTGAGGCCTCCCCAGCCTGCAGAACTTTGAATCAATTAAACCTCTTTCCTTTATAAACTACCCAGTCTCAGGCAGTTCTTTATAGCAGCATGAGAAGGGACTAATACAAGCAGGTCCAGAGCCAGGAACTTTTGTGCACAGGAATCTGGCCATAGGCACCTATCCCCTAGGGCTCCCCATCTCATCTGAGAGGCTCTGGCCCAAGCTAAACACCCAATGGGGAGAAAGCAAGGCTGGCTTTCTTGTGGGACTGGGGCATGTGTGTCTTGCAGGTCCACCTGCTCGCCAACCCTTCCCAGGGCAGCGTTGCCTGGCCACCCCACCGGAGTGTGCACACAGTGCAGCCTCTGCTGCCCAAGCTGGGTGCTTTGCTCCACCTGAGTGCATTCTGGCAGCCTGAGAGCCCTTTGGATACCCCAGCACACTTGGAACCCAACCCCACGAGTCCAGAAGAGGAAGCCACAAGCAGGTCCTGGTGCTCCAGAGCTGCAGCCCATGGCTTGGGAATGCCCAGCCAGGATCTGTGGCCAGCGCTTGAGAAAGGAAGGAGCTCATGCTCTCAGAAAACTGAGACGGGTGAGTGGCACCGGTTCGTGGCCTGGTGTGGGACCTGGGTGTGCCTCTCTCCACAGGGCTGGTCAGGTAAGGGTGTGGCCTGTCTCCCTACTGGACCTCTGCCTGAGGGGACCCCATAGCCTGAAACATCTAACACACACACACACACACACACACACACACACACACACACACACACGCAAGCACAGTGCCAGTAATCGGAGGTGGCTTCCCCAACGCCCAGGAGTGGACCTGGTAAGAAGGTCACCTCTCTACTTTTTGCACTGCAGAGCACAAATGCAAATTGGAAGATACACAAAGGAGCCACGCAGCTAAGAACCTATCTACTGCCCGCTATTTTCCACCGCCATCTACTGGATCGCAGCCTAAACACCACCACCAAAGAACACTGTTAATTCTCCCCATTGTGATACTAAGGGTAAGAATTCAACAACAAAGACCCTGTACAGAGCCACAATAACCAGAACAGCATGGTACTGGTACACAAACAGACACATAGACCGATGGGAAGGAATAGTAAATTCAAAAATAAACTGCACACCTACAACCATCTGATCTTCAACAAGGCTAACAAAAATGCAACGAATATTTTAAATTTAAAATTAAAGATTTAAAATGTAAAATCTAAAAGTATAAAAACCATGGAAGATAACCTAGCAAATACCATTCTGGACATAGAACCTGGCAAAGATTTAATGATGAATATGCCAAAAGCAATTGCAACAAAACCAAAAATCACAAATGGGACCTCATTAAACTAAAGAGCTTCTGCACAGCAAAAGAAACTATCATCAACAAAGTAAACAGACAACCTACAGAATGGGAGAAAATATTTGCACACTATGCCATCTGACTAAGCTCTAATATCCAGAATCTATAAGGAACTTATTACGAGCAAAAAACAAACAACCCCATTAAAAACTGGGCAAAGACCATGTACAGACACTTCTCTAAAGAATACATACAAGAAGCCAACATAGAAAAAGATGCTTAGCATCATTAATCATCAGAGAAATGCAAATCAAAACCGCAGTGAGATCAAACCTCACACCAGTCAGAATGACAATTACTAAAACATCAAAAACAATAGATGCTAGTGAGGCTGCAGAGAAATGAGAATACTTATACACCTTTGGTGGAAAGGTGAACTGATCCAGCCACTGTGGAAAGCAGTCTGAAGATTTCTCAAGGAACTTAAAGCCAAGCTACCATTCGACCCAGCAATCCCATTACTGGGTATATACCCAAAGGAAAATAAACCGTTCTACCAAAAAGAATTATGTACTCATATGTTCATCACTGCACTATTCACAATAGCAAAGACATGAAATCAACCCAGATGCCCACCAATGGTAGACTGTATAATAAAAAAGTGGTACATATACACCATGAAATATTATGCAGCCATAAAAAAGAATACAGTCATGTCCTTTGCAGCAGCTTGGATGCAGTTGGAGACCATAATCCTATGTGAATTAACATAGCAACAGAAAACCAAACACTGCATGCTCTCACTTATAAGTTGGAGCTGAACACTGAACAGACATGGACATAAATTTTGGAAATTTTGTTTGCTCTGCAAACTACTAGAGCAAGGAGGGTGGGAAAAGGGCGTGAGCTGAAAAACTTATTGAGTACTATGCTCACTACCTGGGTGATGGGATCTATACCTCAGCATCAATATTCCCATGTACATTAACTCCCATATCTAAAATAAAAGTTGAAATTAAAAATAAAAACTAGGCACACTGATCTGCAGTTTGAGAGTCTCTAACATAGTTAATGCTTATGAATTTTAATGAATTATATTTTTGAAATAATATTATCTTTAATTTTTTTTCTATCTGTTAGGGCCAAGACCACCTAAGTTCAATTTCCTGCTCTGCTACATACTAGCTATCAGACTTGGGGTAAGTTAATATCTGAAAAATCAATAAAATTGGGATAATAATAGTATCTACTTCATAGGGTTATTATGAAGATTAAATGAAATAATTCTGGCCAAGTGTCCAGCACGCATGGACGACAAGTATTACTGTTCCAAAGCAACATATTCCCACATTGGCACATTATTTCCAGGAGGAATCCCTGGAAATAACAGCTAGATTTTAACTAATTATTTTTTAATCCAGATAATTAGAGGCAAGGACTTGGAGGATACAGATCTATAACTCTTCCTGTTCACCCACCACCTCATTTTCCAAAGTACATTTACCAAAGGCATATCACGCTATCCTAGATATTCTTCCATATGAATTAGGCCGGCAATATAACTGCCATCTGAGAGAATAGACTATTGAGGTACATGTGAAAAAGCCATAGCATCCCCCAGACATACTCTTCTATGAAAAGGGTGTCTTCTGAGTCCAGAAACCCAGGATCCACCACAAAAAGCAGACCTTTACTCCTCTAGCCTCATCACTCTCTCATTGTTCCTATCCCTACTCCACACTCAATCACACTGGGCCACCTTTCAGTGCCTCCAAGAATTCAAGTTCTTTTCTTTCTCACCAATGGGTCTTCATACACACACACACACACACACACACACACACACAAATACACACACACAGACACAATTCATGCCTGTCATATAGTACGTGTAAAGTAAATATTTCCTCAATTAATAAATGAATAAAGTAGAGTTGTTTTGATTGCTCTAGAATAGGGGATCAAGTCCCCTCTATAGTGGCCCAGAGAGGTCTCTCCAGAGTATAACTGGAAAACCACTGGATTAGGATATCCCAATATTAGTCATGGTTCTCCAGAGAAACAGAACCAATTGTACATATACAGATATATAGAAGTAAATTTATTATGAAGAATTTGCTCACACAATCATGGAGGCTGAGAAGTACCATTATCTGTCACCTACAAACTGGAGAACTAGGAAAGTAAGTGCTATAGTTCCAGTCCAAGCCAAAAGTCCTGAGAACAAGGAGAGCCAATGGTGTATAGCCCCAGTTCAAATCTGAAAGCCCAACTACTGGGACCTCCTATGTCCAAGGGTAGGAGAAGATAAATGTCCCAGCTCCAGCAGAAAGCAAATTTGCCCATCCTCTGCTTTTTGGTTCTATTCAGGCCCTTGATGAAGTGGACGATGACCACCCACACAGTTGAAGGTGATCTTTTCTCAGTCTACTGATTCAAATGCTAATCTCTTCCTGAAACATCCTCATAGACACACCCAGAAATAATGTATTACCAAATATATGGGCATCCTTTAGCCTAGTCAAGTCGGCACATAAAATTAACCATCATTCTCAGCAATCTATCACAAGATCAGACAACCAATCACCACATGTTCTCACTCATAATTGGGAGTTAAGCAATGAGAACACACGGACACAGGGAGGGAACATTACACACGGGGGCCTGTTGGGGGGTGGGGGGCTAGGAGAGGGATAACATTAGGAGAAATACCTAATGTAGATGATGGGTTGATGGGTGCAGCAAACCACCATGGCACGTGTATACCTATGTAACAAAACTGTGCATTCTGCACATGTAACCCAGAACTTAAAGTATAATAAAAAAATTAACCATCACAATCCTTATAATCCTTCCCATATCTATCACACCATAATCCTGTGGTAGATTTTAATAAGAAAGAGAGAAAGCAAAGTACTAATATTAGATGCCAGCAAAGAATTTAGCACATTTTGTGTGGTGTCTCAGAGGCATTTTCATCCACTTACATTTCCCCAGAAGAAAGAAAAAAAGGAGAGAGAATGTGACTACCCATGATGGGTGTGAGGAACATATGCTGACCCCGGTACCTGTCTTCTTTCCAGCTTGATTATTTGCATTCCATTAAGTGACTTGCATTGTGTGAGGTTAGAGGATATTCTACAAGGTGCTCATTGATTGGCCCTCTATATCTTGTATGTGTCCATAGTCATGCCCATACCCCTATTACTTTCCATCGCATACCTAATCAGTGCCTATGAGAAGATCAAGAGGAAAAAACCTTATGGGTGTACAGATTTTAAGGGATTAGATATGAGAGTATGAGAGTATGAGATCCTTACCAACTTAACATGAACCCAGAGATAATTCTCTCTCTGGATGTAAAAAGAAGGAATGATAATGAAATTATGCTCCAAAGACACTTATCTTCTGCCAGGTTGGTTACTGAGCAAATGAAGCCTGGTGAGAGGCTTGCATGGAGAAAAAATGTGTTTTCATTTGTGTTTCAGTCTCCTGGACTGAATTACTAGCTGAAGACAAAAAACTAAAAGGCAGGCATTATCTGCAGTTGAACGTTTTACAACTATAAATGTTAGAAATGGCAAATCAGATAGTTAGTGTAAGCCAGTGTCTTTAAAATAATGCCTTTACACCAAGACATCTTCCCCCTGAGAATCCCTTGAGACTGCTGCCAAAAAATGCTAATGCTTTTTCCAGCAGTCTTTCTGGCTGCCCTCAAGAGCATTTTATAAACTGTTTTAACTGTACTAGAAATCAGAAGAGTTACAAGTGGGATTCTGAGTGCAATGGTTATATGTGTTAAAAATCATGATCCCGGCTGGGCACGGTGGCTCACACCTGCAATCCCAGCACTTTGGTAGGCCAAGGCGGGCGGATCACGAGGTCAGGAGATCCAGACCATCCTAGCTAACACTGTGAAACCCCATCTCTATAAAAATACAAAAAATTAGCTGGGCGTGGTGTCACACGCCTGTATTCCCAGCTACTCGGGAGGGTGAGGCAGGAGAATCGCTTGAACTCGGGAGGCAGAGGTTGCAGTGAGCCGAGATCGCGCCATTGCTAGTACCCAGTAGCCCATTATGTACCCTATCATTATAACCCCTTAAAGGATGTCACCATCTTGAATTGTATGGTGACCGTTTTCTTGACTTTCTTTATGGTTTTACAACATATGTATGCAGTCTCAAACATTTCAGTATAGTTTTCCCTGGTTTTGAATTTTATATAAACGAAATCATTTCATGTTTCTTTGGTGCATTTATATTTTACTCTCACTATAATGGTTGTAAGATTCATCTATGCTATGTGTGGCTGCAGTTAATTCATTTTATGGTCATATAATATTCCATAATTTCCTTATACATTCTACTGATGGGCATTTGGTTTATTTACAGTTATTGGCAATTTTGAATAATTCTAGTATGATTATAAGAATGCATTGATTTGGGACATATACATAGGAGTAGACTTTCTAAGTCATTGTTATACATCATTTTTTACTTGATTAGAAAATGGCAAATTGTCTTCCTAAGTAGTCATACCTGTTTTTACTCTCACTAAAAGTGATGTCATTTGTTTGAATTCAGGATTTCTCACAGTCCAACACATGTTTCTGTTCTTCTAGATCTAAAACATGTATAAGAGCTTTCAAAGCCCCATATTAACATGTAGTTCCCAGATCTTCCATTTGTGGTTTTTTTTTCCATGTTCTTGCTTTTCCCAACTGGTATCACAGCCTCATGTAGCTGTGATGTTGAAGAATTGTCATTGATTATTTTCAACAAATGTCCTAGGAAGAGGAATTTTTCTGAGGAGTAAGCACTGAGTCAGGTCAAGTAATGACAAGCCCTATAAATGAGTTTTTTTCTAGGGATCTCAAACAATGGAAATTCTCTTGAGAATGGGATTTTTTGAGGAGCTATAAAACTGATGTGCCTCTCCAGTAGTTGCAAGGACACTAGTTTGCATAGCCCAGTCACTGTGAAGAAGCTACTCGTTTTCAAGGCTACCACAGAGCTGGGGAGATGGAGGTGGGAATAGGAGAAATTTAAAAGCCACAGTCCCTGCTTTTCTTACTGAGGTTTAGCAGTGCCTCTTCTGTAAATCCCCCTCAATTTTTTTTAAGCCTTTGATTAATTTATAGAGGGCTGAAAAGGTTTATTTTGACATATTTTCTGGCCAGAATTTTCACTTATTTTATGGAGGGATAAATTTATGGAGGTTCTTATTCTCCCATTCTGGACATCTCTACTTCTACTGTATAATTCTAATAAATACCCTTTTCAGATGAAAGTTTAATTTTATGTAATGATTTATTTGCATCTATTGAGAGGATCATATGATTTTTCTCTTTTAATTTGTCAATGTAGTGAATTACACTGTTCGATTTTTCTGAAGGTAAAGTAATCATGCATTCCTGGGATACACTGTACCTTGTCTTTGCTATGGTTTGAATGGTTGGCCCCTCCAAAACTCATGTTGAAATAAAACTAACATTTTAACAGTATTAAGAGGTGGGACATTTAAGAGGTGATTAGGCCATGAGGACTCCATTCTCATGAATGAATTAATGCTGTTATCTCCAGAGTGGGTTTATTATGAAAGGGTAATTTGGGCCCCTTTTGTCTCCCTCTCTTGCCCTTCTACCTTCTAGCATAGAATGATGCAGCAAGAAGGCCCTTGCAAGACGCCAGCCACTTGATTTTGAAATTCCCAGTCAGAACTGTAAGAAATAAATTTCTGTTCTTTATTAATTACCCAGTCTCAGGTATTCTGTTGTACCAGCACAAAATGGACTAAGACAGTCATAATGATTTATCCTATTTATATGTTGCTGAATTCTATTTGATAATATTTGGTTTGAATTTTTTCATTTATTGAAATAAATGATATTTTTCTATATTTTTTCTTGATTTTATTGTTTTCATCCATCAGAATCAGGATTATGTTCATCTCATGAAATAAGTCAGGGAATGTTGACTGATTTTCTCTTCTCTGGAATTTTATTCAAAACTGAAAGTATTTGTTATTTGAATGTTTGGTAGAACTTGCCAATGAAGCCATATGGGCCTGGAGTTTTCTTTGTGGGAAGACTTCTGATTAGTGATTGAATTCCTTTAATTGTTATAGAACTACTCAGGTTTCTAACTCTTGTTCAATTAATTTTGCTACATTTTCTAGGAGTTTGTCCATTTTATCTTAATTATCAAATTTACTGGTATAAAATTGTTCATAATAATTTCTTATTTAATATCTAAGACATCTGTAGTGACATCTTTTTTACTACTGCTGATGAATATTTTACAGGACAGATATAAAAAACATGATATTTCCTTGTTTGTAAAAAAAACCCTTTTATTATTATAACTAAAATTTTTCTAAACATCTTACTTTTAAAATTCCTGATATTTTTGTACATTTTAAAGGTGAATGTTTTTGAAGTTGCTGAAATCCAAGTGCTGTTTCTCAAATAAGATATCAGATGGAAATTTTTAAGACAATTATTACTAGTACAAGGTTTCTTGAAGGAGTGTTATTGAGTTTAAAGTTTCCCAATCATTATTTTTCACTCAATTTTCTCATGCTTCTTCTCAACCTTCTCTTTCCCTCTACAAACCCTATATTCTAGCCATATTTCTCTGGCCACCAGCCCATAAATGCATCATACTCTTTTCCAACTATGGTCTTTGTTTCTACCATTCCCTACAGTTGTAAAGTTGTTGACACTTATCACTATCTGCCAGAAACCTAATCATCCTCGCTTTCCTCCCTATACTCCTTTCATCCTCCCCAAAGGAACAGCTAATGTAGTATTCTCTCTGACATGACTTTGAAGAGGCAGAGCTATACAGGGAGGCAGAATGGAAGAATCAAAATGAACACAAGCAAAATGGAGATTTGGGAGCTGCTTTCATCTGTAACAGAACACTAGAAAAATTTCATCTTCCTCCAGTTTTTGTGCTTGTGTGTTCTGCTCTGGATATCTTGAGGCAATCTCCTTTTGGGGGAGCACTGTCTCCCTGTGGCACTAACAAGAATTTGAAGGTACCGGTTATTTGTTTATCTTGCTACCTGAATATCTTGCTCTTTGAGAAAGCTTTGATGCAAAAGCAATATCAACATCTGTTTCAAGGATCTCTGCTGGAATTGCAGCTTCACAAGCCAAATTGCCTATGCTTCCATCAAGGAAATGGCTATTTATTTTATGCAGCCATCTGGGCTCTAACTAGGATGTTTTGTCATTTGTGGTCTTGTTTTCTAGCTTCTTCTTTTAAGAATAAAATTTGATAACTTCATAAGCAATTTCTTCTGTCAATAGTATATATATTATATATATATGTGCACACACACACACACATATATATACAGATACACATATTATACATATATATAATCAAACTAATGAGTAAATGTTTTCTAATTGGTTTACAATGTCACTGTGATAATAAATATTTTGGCCTAGTACCCTCTCTCCCCCTCCCCTCCCCTAACTGTATTTATATCTGCAACATTTACACTTTGTTGAAAAACAAGTTAATAAACTCCACAGGGCCCATATGCAGTTTACCTGAAGACTTTTGTGGGACTCTGCTTCCTTTGAAAAGAGGCAGGCTATTCGGAGACTCAATATGCTATGAACATAGTGGGGATTTCCCCGTCTTCCTACCTCCCAACAGTATTCCAAAGAAAGTTTGTCTTACCACTTTAATAAACACTATCATCTCATATATCAGAAAGTTTTCTGCACCTTCTATGGTGACTTCTCAAGAGGAATATCACAAATAATTTGTGGTCTAGAGTCTAACTTCAAATGACTATCAGGGTAGGGGAGATGGAGGAGAGTGATCTGAAAACAATAAATGTGTCTTTTAAAATGCTATTTCTCTTTTCCTGGAAGTGAATTTACTCATAATTATGGCTTTTATAAGTCATCCAAGTATTATGATTTGGAAAGAAAAGTCGTGAAACTCCTACTGACAACACATTACTTCTTATCTTCTTGGCAATCTCATTTACCTGGAATTGAGCCATAAAATAGAAAGAACATCAAAAGACCTGTAAGCAGCCCAAATAAATGTTGCAGAGTTCACACCCCAAAGCTTATAGATTTTATTCATAGAAGAGTACTTCACCCATACTCTATTTACTCTTACATTACAAACAATTATATCTGGTTTTCCAGCCCATTGCAGATTAGAATCAGCCAATTAAAATGGAGAGAGGAGCTGCCAAGGGAGAGTCAGAAATGCTATCAATAGAAGACACAAAACTAAAAATTCACAGCAGTTCCAGGGCATTTAGAATTGGGCAAAAAGCTCTTTACACTTCCATACCCATGAGAGCACACTGTGTCACAACCCAGTGCAATCACTGATGTTCAGAATGATAACTTGGAGTCATTGAAAGGATGCATTATGTTCAGGGTTCCCTCTGTAGGAAAGCAGAGAGTGTGTAATATATTTTAAGAAGATTTCCATTCAAAATGATTAACATTTTAAAAGGTAAATCTCAGCAATATAGAATGGTTTTTTAAAACCTGGAATATTTGACTCACTTCTTAACTGGCCTTCTGCCTACAATCTCTCCATCCAACCCCCAACTACCCACCTCCATAAAGCCATCTTTTTGGCCACTGCAAGATTAATTTTTCTAAAGAAATAGCTCTGATTAATGGGAGAAAATTTTTGCAATCTATCCATCTGACAAAGGGCTAATATCCAGAATCTACAGGGAATTTAAACAAATTTACAAGAAAAAAAAACCCATCAAAAACTGGGCAAAGGATAAGTACAGACAATTCTCAAAAGAAGACATTTATGCCGCCAACAAACATATGAAAAAAAGATCATCACTGGTCGTTAGAGAAATGCAAATCAAAACCTCAATGAGATGCCATTTCACACCAGTTAGAATGGCGATCATTAAAAAGTCAGGAAACAGATGCTGGACAGGATTTGGAGAAATAGGAATGCTTTTACACTGCTGGTGGGTGTGTAAATTAGTTCAATGATTGTGGAAGACAGTGTGGCAATTCCTCGAGGATCTAGAACCAGAAATACCATTTGATCCAGCAATCCCATTACTGGGTATATGCTCAAAGGATTATAAATCATTCTACTATAAAGACACATGCACACATATGTTTACTGCAGCACTATTCACAATAGCAAAGACTTGGAACCAACCCAAATGCCATCAGTGATAGACTGGATAAAGAAAATATGGCACATATACACCATGGAATACTATGCAGCCATAAAAAGGATGAGTTCATGTCCTTTGCAGGGACATGGGTGAAGCTGGAAGCCATCATTCTCAGCAAACTAACACAGGGACAGAAAACCAAACACCACATGTTCTCACTCATAAGTGGGAGTTGAACAACGAGAACACATGGACACAGGGAGGGGAACATCACACACTGGGGCCTGTCGGGGGTTGAGGGGCTAGGGGAGGGATAGCATTAGGAGAAATACCTAATGTAGATGACGGGTTGATGGGTGTAGCAAAACACCATGGCACATGTATACCTATGTAACAAACCTGCACGTTCTGCACATGTATCCCAGAACTTAACATGTAATTTAAAAAAAGAGAGAAAGAAAATGTGGCACATATACACCATGGAATACTATGCAGCCATAAAAAATGATGAGTTCATGTCCTTTGTAGGGACATGGATGAAATTGGAAATCATCATTCTCAGTAAACTATCGCAAGAACAAAAAACCAAACACCGCATATTCTCACTCATAGGTGGGAATTGAACAATGAGATCACATGGACACAGGAAGGGGAATATCACACTCTGGGGACTGTGGTGGGGTGGGGGTAGGGGGGAGGGATAGCATTGGGAGATATACCTAATGCTAGATGACGAGTTAGTGGGTGCAGTGCACCAGCATGGCACATGTATACATATGTAACTAACCTGCACAATGTGCACATGTACCCTAAAACTTAAAGTATAATAAAAAAAACAAACAACAACAACAAAAAAATAGGTTTATAATAAATAAATATTTTTCATTAAAAAAAAGAGAGAAAGAAATAGCTCTGATTAAATTGCTTCCACATTCAAGACTCTCTGATAACTCTCCTGCACCTACCAATAACACAAAATATTCAACTTATCATTTAAAACCTTCCACAGTTTAGCCCCAGTCTATCTTTCCATCTTTACTTACTACCACTCCTTCCAAATACACTATGCTGCAGCTCAATAGTTCTCAAAGTCTCTGGACCAGCATCATCTGGGAACTTGTTAGAAATGCAACTTATTGGGGCTCACAAAAGACCTACTGAATCAGTAACTTTAGGATTTTAGTAAGCCTTTCAAGTGATCCTAATGTGTGTCGAGTTTGAGAATCACAGATCTAGCCAATCTGAACTGGCCATTACATAGTTAAACTTTACTGCTCCTGTGTCTGTGGTTTACTCATGATGTTTCCTTTGCTTTGTCTGGAATTCTTCTTGCCTTTTCCCCTTTATGAAACTCTATATATTTTTAAACATATCTCTAATGATATATCTTTTAGAGAGTATCTTATATTTCACCCAATCAGATGCAAATTCTTTCTTCTACAAACCCTCACAAAAATTTACGTACATTCTTTCATTCATTCTTCCATTCAACTAATAATCACTGAAGTCTGCTATGTGCCAGGTGCAGGGCACTGGGGATATTGATGGACAAGTAAATAAGCAATTACATCATAGTGTATAATGTAGGAAACTGTGAGCACAGGAAAGGGATATCTCTCATGATATGAAGGTTTGATAACTTCCTATGAGAAGTGTCATCTAAGCTAAGTATGAGAAAAATGAATAGTCAGCAAGGAGGATTTTTTAAAAGAATAAGCACATATAATCAAGATCTGTTTTAAGTAAAAATTCATACATGATATAAAAACGTACAGTTAAATTGAATAGTGTAAGCAAATCCTTTTATCAGAATGTCAAGTTCTTTTGTGGAGTCTTTTCTTTCCTCCAACAAGCTGTTATTAATATGAAGATAACAGACAATTTAATTATCTCCAAAATGTGCCAGTCATATTTTTGGTATCTTGGAGCACCCCTTTCCTGAAATCCCTGAAGATAAATCCACATGTGGCCTATTTCTAAGTTCTGTGGTCAGCTTTCTGGCCTCAAGCCAGCAGAAACTATTGCTACAACCACCATATTCTCACTGTTATTTTGATTGCCTAAGGCCCCAACTAGTTTCTCGCTCTCCTCTCTGAAAAATGTCAACTCTCTTATTAAAAATTTCAAGGCTACCCTGCTTTAGTGTTACACCAAATAAGTGACCTACATCCACAAAGACACATAAACTTAAAAGGATTTTCTATTGAAAATTAATCAACAACAGTCTTGGATTACTCCAAGGTCAGATGAGCCCTAGTCAGACAAGGGCCTGAGACCTCTGAGAGCTAGTGTTGGAAGTGACTCCTGGGAGAAAGGAAACTACTTCGCAGTTCACTAGAGGCTCCCCTCATAGTGGATTGAAAGTCATGAAGTTGGAATCTCATACTGCCTAATCTGCTCAGAGATCCTGAGTTAATCCTCCTTCAGGTGCCTATAGACCAAGGACAAATAACCCAGCAATCCACAGACAGGTGCCTGACATCAGATCCAAATGCTATCCTCTAACTAAACACCCTTGTTGCAAAGAGTTATGAATGGAAAACAACTGCTGTAACAACAAAGAGATTACATGGACCTGGAGAAAGAATACTAAACTCAGAGTCAGTAAAACCAAACTCTTGCCCCTTCACTGTCAGCCATCAGCCTTGTGACCTCTCTGAGCCTCATCCTTCCCAGCTACAACTTGATGTAAGTATACAGCTGTGGGAGAGAGTTCTAGGTTTCTAACCCAATATCCATTCTTCCATTTAGCTTTAGTTATAGAACAATGAGGATGAAGTGCTAGACTAGCTGCAACATAAGCATAACTGCCCAGCTCAGCTTAAAGCCATGCCCAGGGTTCAAAGGGCAGCTGGTCGCATGAGTCCTCCCTATTTTCTATCGTTTCAACACACAGCAACAGACAGTAGTTCCAAACTGCAGTTCAGCAGTTCAGATATTCCTCTATTTGGACTATTAAGTCCAGAAAGCACAGGGGTCAAGGGCTCACACTAGTTCAAAATGCTAAATGATATCATTGTCCAGTATTTTATTTCTGGACTATTTTTAACTTCATAAATTAGAAATTGTTTTTATTGTTTTTTATCATTTGTGTCTCTTCAGATTTACACACATATTAACCGATATCTTCACTCACATTTTTATGTTTCATTTTAGCTGGAATCCTTTTTCTCTTATCTGAAGTGTAGCATTGAAAATTTCCATTAGTGGTTTTTTTTTTTGTTTTTGGTAATAGATACCCAATTTTTATTTATCTGGAAATATCTTTAATTGCCTCACTTTGAGAAATATTTTTGTTGTGTGTACAATCTAGGCTGACAATTGTTTTCTCTCAGTCTACTGGAGATATTACTCCACTGTCTTCTCACTTCAATTGTTGCTGTTTAAATGTCATTCATCATTGCTATTCCTTCTTTTTTTTTTTTTTGGTAATCTGTCTTTTTTCTCTGACTGCTTCTGAGGTATCTTGTTTCTTGAACACAGATATTCTTTGGGTTCACTACAGTACCTCTAGATGAAGATTTATTTTTTCTACTTTGGATTCACTTTGACTTCCTGGATCTGAGGATTGGTTTCTTTGAGTAATTTTGGAAAATTGTCAGCAATTACTTCTTTAATGTTGCTTTTCCTCTGTTATCTTCAACAGACGCATCAATGACATTAGACCTATCACTCAATCTTCCATGTCTCTTGTGCTTGCTTTTATATTTCCCATCTCTGTCTTTTTGAACTATGTGCTGGATAATTTCTTCTGGTATATTTTCCAATACATGAATTCATTTTTCAGCTGCATTTAATCTGCTAACTAGTACTGTCATTGAGTTTTGAATTTCAATTATTATATGTTGATGTCTATAAATTACATATAATTCTTTTAAAAATCTGCTATTCCCTCCTCTTAGTTTCAATCTTCAATTTTATTACCTTAAACATTAAACACAGTATGTTAATATCAGTGTTTAAACCCTTTAGGGGTTGTTTCTATTGTTTCTTTTTCTTCTCTTGGTCTTTGTTTACAGTGCATTCTTTCCTTGTGTGTTTTATGATTTTCTTGTTTTTTTTGTTGTTGCTTCATGTTTGTTTGTTTACTGTGAGCTGCTCATTTAGGTTGTAGCTTTATCTATGGGAATTCATTGACACTTTATTCTCCATAGAGGATTTGTATTTGGTTCTACCATTTGCCTTGGAGTGCTACCAAATTGGAGGCACATTAAATAAAATTATCTGCTTGAAATTTTTTAGACCACACATCTGGAGTGAATTCGACCTGAAAACCCAAAGGAGCTACCAGATTAAAAATTCTCACGAGATATTTTCCCCTGTACCTATTGTCAGAATTAAGATAGTTTCATTTCAGTTTTTCTCTTTTATGTAAAATACAAATAAAGTTAAGTACAGTTTTTGCTTAAAAACAGCATGTAGGGTATGAGCCCATTTTATAAGGGGTTTCTATGTATCTGTATCTTCATCCTTCAATGTTTAGGAGAGCCATTTGAGATGATGTTCATCTCATATTCACGTGGTTATTTTGAAATATTGAACTTTTAAGGACATTTTCTAACTTTCTTTTTGTACTTTGTTGTATCCTTAAATTATTTATAATTAGAAATTATGATTTACACCACAACTATTCAAGTAATCTTTATATTTTTTTACAACAATGAAGAAGTGGCTGCTCTGCTTATGGAGTAGTCATTCTTTTATTCCTTTACTTTGTTAATAAACTTGCTTTTATTTTACAAAAAAAATGAAGAAATAACATTGGGGACTATCTACTATCATCATTTCATTTTCATGTAAAAAAATGAGACCCTGATCAGATAAGACACCAACTCCAAGTGACACAGTGAGTTAGGGTAAAGATAGATTTTAACTCAATTATCCCATCCATCAATTCCAGGCTCATTTCATCATATTCCAATTCTGAAACAATGCTGGGTTCATTACACAGAGAAAACGCATTGCCACCTTCCCAAACCTGCTTGTTTTTCTTTTCACTATACCTATTTCACAATAGTCTAATTTTGCTTAGATTCAGCTCAATCTCTTTTAAGCCTTTAGCTCAAAGGCCTCATTTTAACTGGTTTCCTTTTTTTTTTACATTCAAATTATAATTTTCAAGAAAAACATGGAATGTTCCTTAGAAAAGAGATAATTTAAATTTTATTTTATTTTTTTTTTTTTGAGACGGAGTCTCACTCTGTCGCCCAGACTGGAGTGCAGTGGCACGATCTCGGCTCACTGCAAGCTCCCCCTCCCAGGTTCACACCATTCTCCTGCCTCAGCCTCCTGAGTAGCTGGGACTACAGGCACCCACCACCACGTCTGGCTAATTTTTTTTTGTATTTTTAGTAGAGACGGGGTTTCACCATGTTAACCAGGATGGTCTCGATCTCCTGACCTCGTGATCCGCCCGCCTTGGCCTCCCAAAATGCTGGGATTATAGGCTTGAGCCACCACACCTAGCCTAAATTTTCTTACATGCAGTTACTTAAACCAAGAATGTCTATAAAGCACATCAAATTGACCATTGTAAAGTTGGTTCCAATTCTGTAGCCGTATCACTTCACAGTTTACAAAACACTCTCACATCCATTACCTCTGAGCTCCTCACCAATTCTGAGGCTGGTATTCAGAGGTTGTTATGGCCCCAGAGTTGGATTAGCTGGGTGTTAGTTAAGCACAGATTCCTTCTTATACCTAATTCTGCTTCTGTAATTTTGTTCTAGAGGGTCCCCCAAATGGTATAAATTTTGGACCCCACAAAACTGGATCTGATCCTAATTCCCATTTTATAGACAGCAACTGAGGCTAAGTGAAATTAAGTAACTTCTCTAAGATGTGACAGTCATTAAATTATGTGAGTGAAACATAACCTACTTAGTTATTCTGAGATTCGTATTTTTTTCACATGCAGTCATGGCAAAATTTTCCAAACTCTAATGCACTTCCACATAATTGATAATTGAGTTAAGATGACTTGGTGGGAGAATATTTTGAATTATTCATTGATGTTTTCCCACACCAACACAATCTTGTACCTCAAACCAAAAGAGCTAGAGCATTCCATACGCACTGCCTTCAGGTTAGGACCGTTACTGAAGAGATGTAGAGAAGAGAAACATGTGAATGTTCTCCTCTTGTATTTCAGCTTGTGAATACAAGGAAGAAATAATGACAGTAAGGTGATTCTGACAGGAGTTCCTTGCACCACCATATTATGGAAACAGTGCAGATAACTGCTGGAGATGTCAGGGACAAAATTGGACTCTGAGACAGCCCCAAATAGTGTGGGAGAAAGAGACAGCAGGAAGATTTCCCCTTACTCCTGAAAGTATGAGCTGGTAGGCCCAAAAGAGTCACGTGGTTGTGAGGGGGGAACAAGGCTGGATAAAGTAATATGGCCCACATAGCATGAGGCCAGGTGGGAATACAACTGTCTCAGAGGATGCTCCATGGAGGTGAGAGTGAACAGCAACCATAGTGGATGGTATACACTGCAGCAGAGGCTGTCATCATCCTCCTTTTCCCCATACCATAAAGTTTTATAAACCCTGTATAACTGAGGGGACAGTACATGGAAGAGAATGGGGGAGGATTCTGATGTGAGCCAAGACCTTAAATCACTTTTGTGACCTGAAAATGACCAAGAGTACACTTTGTGCCATCCAGCAGATTCAGGACTGAAGAAAAAAAAAGCTAACTTCAGTTATAGCAACAGTGAAGTAACTTGTACAACTGAGTTTTATGGGCTATAACATTTGTATTTAGTATACACTCATTTTTAAAACAAACATTACTATATTGCTGTGAAAAGGCATGAATTAGTAGGACAGGCTTCTACTTAGAATCAGAACCTCTGTTTTCAAGACACAGCTCTGCCACTTAATACCTTTGTGACTTTGAAAATGTAATTTAACCCTCTCAGAAACTCAGTTTTCTCATCCGTGAGATCGATCGCTGTCCTTTCTCTTTGTGCCCTTATGAAAATGAAATGAAATGTAATCAAACAAGAAAGTATTTTAAAGCCAGGTGCAGGGGCCCATGCCTGGAATCCCAGCACTTTGGGAGGCTGAGGAGGAAGGATTGCTGGAGGAAGGATTGCTTGAGGCCAAGAGTTCAAGACCAGCCTAGGAAACAGAGCAAGACCCCCATGTCTACAAAAATAAAAAAAAAAATTATCTGGGCATTGTGATATCCTCCTATAGTCCTAGCTACTCAGAAGGCTGAGGCAGGAGGATAGCTTGAGCCCAGGAGGCTGCAATGAGCTATGATCACCCCACTGTACTCCAGCCTTGGCAAAAGAACAAGACCCTGTCTCAAAAAAGTAAGTATTTTGTAAAATGTAAAGCTCTTTACACATATTAGGTTTTACTAACAATGACACATTTATTTTCAATCATCTTGTACTGTCCTTTCTTTTCTCACATTTTTTGATATTAATATCAGTGTCTGAAGAAACATCTGATTTGGAAACATATTTGATTCTTTTTGATAGTATATACCCAGAGGCAAGTGAGTGAAATAGTGCAGGTCCTCATTCTAACCTTAGTGTCCAAGAGAGCAGCTGGATGCTGGATGCTATTCATAGGTGAGGCTGCCAGGTTTTCAAGTGTATTCATTGCTTATGGCTGCTGTAACAAATTTCCACAGATTTAATAGCTTATGGCAATACAAATTTATTAGCTTACAGCTCTGGAGTCAGGAGTCCAAATGGTTCTCAGTGGGTAAAATCAAGGTGTTGACAAGGCTGTGTTCTTTCTGGAGGCTATAGAGAAGAATCCATTTTCTTGCTTTTGTTAGCCTCTAAAGGCCACCCATAGTCTTTGGCTCACAGCCCCTTCCTTTATTTTCAAAGCCAGCAGAATAGCATCTTCAAATTTCTCTGGCTCTGACCCTCTGGTCTCCCTCTTATGAGGACCCTTGTGATTACATTGGGACCACCCTGATAAACTTGGTTAATCTCTCTGTCTCAAGGTTTATACCATTAATCATATTACCAAAGTCCCTTTTGCCACGTGTTTTAGTTTCCTAAGGCTGCCATTAAAAAGTACCACAAACTGGGAGACTTAAAACAACAGAAATTTATTCTCTTATGCTTCTGAAGGCTAGGACTCCAAAACCAAGGTATCAGTATTACTGTGCTCCCTCCAAAGGTTCTAGGGGAGGATCCTTCCTTGCCTTTTCCAGTTTCTGATAGTCACAGGTGTTTCTTGGCTTGAAGCTGCAGTATTTCAATCTCTGCCTCCATACTCACATGGCCTTCTCTCTAAATGTCCCTGTGTCCAAATTTCTCTCTTCTTATCAAAAGACCAGTCATATTGGATTAAGGCTCACTTTACTCCATTATAACCTCATCTGAACGTAACTATATCTGCAATAATCCTATTACCAAATAAGTTCACTTTCTAGGGTACCTGGGGTTAGACACCAACATATCTTTTTGGAGGACACAATTCAACTCCTTATACCATGTAAGGCAACATGTTTTTAGGTTCTGGGAATTAGGATGTGGACGTCTTTGGTGGGGGTATTGTTCTGCCTTCCACATCCAGGTACTGTAGGCTTCCCATACCACACCTACCACACCGTGGAGACATCCAGGCCTTGTAGGAGAGGCAAGGGCTCACTGGAGAGGAGCAGTGTGATAACAGGGAAAAATTTAGACTCAAATTGGCTTCTGTTCCTTATAGTTGTGAAAACTTCAGGAAAACTCCTTTACCTCTTTGAGGCTCAGTTACATCTCCTGAAAACAGGTCTAATAAATCTCCATCTCCCAAGGATAGTTGCCAGGATTCTGTGAGGTAAGTCTATGAAGCACCTGGCACATCAAAAGGACATATGAAATGATAGCTGTTAGGTGTTCACACTCCCCAATTTTTATGGAAAAACGTAAAGCTTTTCATCCACATAATTTCTTCCACCACCATTTCTATTCCACTTTGAAATAGCAAAATTTGGCTATGTGCCCAGCAGGCCCTGCCAAGGCAGACTAAGGGTTAAATTAAGAAAGCGGCAGGACTTGGGCCACAGGCTGGGTGGGGACAGGGAACATTTGTCAGCTCCAAGGGTCCAATGCCTCCCACTTCTTCCCTTTTCCTCTGCCTGCCTTCCCTGGACTTGGCACTCAAAGCTGCAGAGACCTCCAACCTCTAGAGAGACCTGGGGAGACGTTGAAGCCAAGGGCTAAGGGAGCTCTGAACATACCAAAGTCCCCAAACTTATTTTTCTTCTTTTGTTTCATTTGTCTTTATTAAAAATTTGTTTCAGCTTTGAGACAAAATTGACAAATAAGATTGTATATACTTAACATGTAAAATGTGCTGTTAATATAAATACATGTTGTGAAATGATTAACACAATCAAGCTGATTAACATATTCATCACCTCACATAGTTACTATTTTTCGTGGTGAGAACTATTAAGATTTATTCTCTTAGCAAATTAAAGTATACAATGCAGTATTATTAACTATACTTGCTAGGCTGTACATCAGGTCTGTAGAAATTATTCATCTTAGAACTGATGTTTATACCCTTTGACCAACATCTCCCCATTTCTCCAACCCCTGGGCCTGGTAACCACCATTCTACTCTGTTTCCATGATTTCAACTTTTTTGATTCCACATATAAGTGAGATCATGTTGTATTTGTCTTTCTGTCAGGCTTATTTCACTTAACATAATGTCCTCCAGATTCTTCCACATTCTTACAAATGGCAGGATTTCCTTCTTTTTAAAGGTTGAATAATATTCCGTTTTGGGTTTGTGCGTGTGTGTGTGTGCGTGTGTGTGCGTCACATTTTCTTTATCCGTTCATCTGTCAGTGGACACCTTGTTTCCATTTCTTGGCTATTGTGAATAGTGCTGCAATGAACGTGGAAGTACAAATATTTCTTTTTTTGTTATTATACTTTAAGTTCTAGGGTACATGTGCACAACCTGCAGGTTTGTTACATATGTATACATGTGCCATGTTGGTGTGCTGCACCCATTAACTCGTCATTTACATTAGGTATATCTCCTAACGCTTTCCCTCCCCCCTTCCCCCACCCCACAACAGGCCCCGGTGTGTGATGTTCCCCTTCCTGTGTCCAAGTGTTCTCATTGTTCAATTCCCTCCTATGAGTGAGAACATGCGGTGTTTGGTTTTTTGTTCTTGCGATAGTTTGCTGAGAATGATGGTTTCCAGCTTATCCATGTCCCTACAAAGTACATGAACTCATCCATTTTTATGGATGCATAGTATTCCACGGTGTATATGTGCCACATTTTCTTAATCCAGTCTATCATTGGTGGACATTTGGGTTAGTTCCAAGTCTTTGCTATTTTGAATAGTGCCGCAATAAACATACGGAGTACAGATATTTCTTCAACATATTGATTTCATTTCTTTGGGAAATAGATTCAGTAGTGAGATTAAAATGGGCAAAGAACATGAATAGATATTTTTCCAAAGAAGATATACAAATGGCTACATTGTACGGTGCATGAAAAGATGCTCAACATAACTAATCATCAGAAAAATGAAAATCAAAACCACAATAAGACACCACCTCACATACATTAGGATAGCTAATATCAAAACGGCAAGAAATAACAAATGTTGGCGAAGATGTGGAGGAAAGGGAACCATAGTTTTTGCTGTGAGCTGCATTTCTGAGGAAAGCAGGTGAAAGAAAGAAGATGTGCCAGGAGCTCAAGATCCTAACTAACTTTGCCACTGTTTGACAAATAAGTATGGAAGAGTGGATGGGTTTTTAGTTTCTCATAGCTTAACATGGGATGTTTTCTCCACTGCCCCGAGTCTTGTTTTTAAGTGAAAGAATCAAAGAAGATCCAGGGGAGGGATGAAGGACAGTAATGGATGTATCATAGCGGTTTGGTTGTGTTTTCCATTTACCTTTAACCTGAGGTCTTTCAAAGCAGTCCTCAACCTCATTTCAGGGTCTAACTGAATTAAAAAACAGGTGAATAACCTGACTTAGCTGGTGGAGACCTAGCAGGCCTCCGATGGACTGCTCCTGAAGGCTAAATCCCTGCCTGGAGCTTCGTGTACTGGTTCTAAAAATGTCTCTCTGCAAAGTAACTGTTAACAGGTCACTTTAGCAGGGAGGATATATTCACTTTCTAGGGCCGCCATAACAAAGTACCACAAACTCGGCAGTTTAAACAACAGAAACGTATTGTCTTACAGTTCTGGAAGCTCCAAGTCCAAAATCAAGGTGCTGGCAGGGCAGTTTCTCCTACTGTGCCTTTCTCTTAACTTCTGGTGTTTCAGGCAATCCTTGGTGTTCACTACAATCTCTGCCTTTGTCTTCACATGGCATTCAGGACACCAGTCATATTGAATTAGGGCCCCACCTTATACCAATATGACCTCATCTTAACTTATTACATTTGCAAATACATTATTTTGAAATAAGGTCACATTCTGAGGTAATGGTTGTTAGGACTTCAATATATTTTAGGAGAAGTCACAATTCAACGAATAGCAGGTGATAAAGTCACACTTGGTGCAGCAAAATCCAAAATGCAACCTGCTAAAAGGGTCACTGTGTGCTATGCTTCTCAACCAGGGTGATTATTCTCCTCAGTAGACACTTGGCAATGTCTACAGACATTTTTGTTGTCCTAACAGGGGGACGGGTGTGCTATTTGTTTTCTGGTGGGTAAGGTCCAAGGATGCTACTAAACATCCTACAATGCACAGGATAGGTCCCCCAAAGCAAAAAGTATCTGGCCTAAAATGCCCATAGCGTCCAAGTTAAGAAACTTTATGTTAAAGTAACAAAATCTTGTCTGCTTCCCATATGCTCCCTATCGGGAGAGAGTGACTCCCAACCCAACCTGCTCCCAAAGGGCTCTCTCTTTCTCTCTCTGAGGAGCCAGCATTGGCCCTTTGACTTAGAGTTCTATTTACTTCCCTCCCCTTCATACTTGCCAATTTGAGTCAGGGCCTTCACATTGATGATTTCAAAGATTTTTTCTCTTTCTGCCATGCTGCTTGCCTCCTGCCTGCCGTGCCAAGAGATGAAGTTGTGAGGGATGCTGGCCTCCCCACATCTAATCCTGAGCCTCAATAGCAGCAGGGAAGGTGGCAAGTGTTCAGTTGCAGTTGTTGGCAAAGAAACACAGCAGTGGCCAGACCCAATGATGCCACTGCATGTACAAAAGCCACTTTAGCAAATTTCTCCCATGTGGTCAGATTTGTAACCAGGACAAAGCCCTCTGTTGTGTGTGGGTTCTAGGGACACGGAAATGCAGAGCTCCTATTTAAATCTTTGCTGGTTAATTAGTTTGGAAGACTGGATGGGATCCTTTTTAAATTTAACTTCTGTTATTAATATCAATATATTAATCTGATTTGTGAAATGCAATGGGGGGTGATTTACATGGCAATAAATATAAAGCAGAAAATTTCCATGTGAGTGTGGTTTTATCTAAAGTAAAATGGCTTCTGCATTGATTAGGCTCTGGTCAGCAAACCACAATAAACTGCTCACCAGTTTACTAAATTACAATAATTAATTAATTATTGAATAATACTTGGAAATTATTAAGTAATGAATAATATTGAAAAACCTTCTGATTAGGCACAAAATGCGATATTTGTTGCCTACTTATAGAGCCTTCAGATTTCTATTCTTGTCTTTTAACATTATTACATTTGTTAATCAAATACCTATGCTTCAGAATTCAGTAATGCATCCTACAACTCTTGACCAGTAATACCAAATAGTGAAATCTCCCTAGATTTAATTACAGAGGAAAATGCCTTTTCTCAAAATTTAGGATTTGGTTCCTACCTCACTATTGTTTTGCATTGGCTTGAGTTTTGGATTGGGAATTCATAGGAGATTCCTGTTGCCCTTCTGTTTTCAGATCAGCCGTAAAGATGCAAGAGAGCATTTGTCCTTGCTCAAACAGCAAATGGCCTAAGAGAGGTAGTTAGATAGGCTTTTCAGACAACTCTTGTATACTTCTCCAGGGCAAAATATCTTTCCCCAGCACTCTCTTTTAATTCCCTTTGCCTATAGCTCCCTCATGTGATTTGTCACTACAATTACCAAGAAACCACCAATAAATAACTTCAGCATTTTTAGCTTTAGAAATATCATGCCTCCATTTTAAATTACTCATAAGATCTTGGACTGGGCCCTCATTTCCATCAGAGAGAATGAAATGTGATCGAATAGAGGTTTATTTAGGAAGTCTTTGCTCATTGTTTTGGGGGGTTTTATGGATGTTTAGGCTACATTTTGCTTTGGTGTGAACAAGCATGTCCCCTCTTGTTGGTCCATAGAGGGAGGTGGTACTACAGGAAGTGACTCTGAGCTGGTTTAAAGGAAAGGGGAATCCTACACTCTTCAACTTTTATCTGAGTGAAAACGAGAGGTCAGATACTGGGGCTGGTGTCCTGAATTCCTTCAATATACCTTTTTAGTTATATAACAGTATTTTTGTTATTGTCTATGAAATATCTATATCATATAGAAAATAATATCACCTATGTATTCGCCACCCATATGTAACAGATGTTAACATCTTGCCATGTGTGCTTCTGAACTTTCTCTTTTTTATTAAAGAAATAAAATGTTACAGGACTTTCTATTTCAAAATAGTAGTGTAGAAGCAAGCTTGTTTCAGTTCCCCCTTCCCCGACAGAAAACCAAAAGCAAGTATACAGTGCCAAGGTTGTCATCAGCAATACCCGAGAACTTAGATATAAGATTGAGACAGTTCCCAGGACCACAGAGAAGTGAAACATCTTCAAGCAAACAGTAGAGAATAGGACTTCCATATCTGTCATGCTCCTCACTCCAATCTACTCATCACCAAGCATGTGAAAAATTTTCCTCTGACTCACCGTTTCAATGCAGGGGAAAGTAAGATCAAGGTAGACAACCAGCTTCCCCACCATCTTTGGTTCCCTGGCAAGACACTTGTCTCTACTTCAACCCACAAGAAACATCTTGAGTGCCTGAAAGGAGACATATCTCTGAAGAGAGCCAAAGACAAAGGGGAAGGTGAGACTACCATCCCCAGCCCTGGAAACTCTTCTTGATAACTTGGCCAAAGGCGACACTAAACCAAAGATGCTATTCAGCAGCATCATGTTGTGGAGGTTCAATCCACAGGTTTCCTGGTCACATATCCCTAGCTAGGCTTCCCACACTGCCAGGATACTCCCTTAGGGACCTCCCCCATTTCAGGACAGGCAGGCATCTGATTATTCACTAATGCTGAGGCAAATCTGAAATCAAGGTACCGTCTAGTGAGAAAAAGGAGGCAGTGACCTAGTGGAAAATAAATAAAAAGAATATCAGCCGGGTGCAGTGGCTGACGCCTATGATCCCAGTATTTTGGGAGGCCAAGGCAGGTAGATTGCCTGAGCTCAGGCGTTCGAGACCAGCCTGGGCAACACAGTGCAACCCCGTCTCTACTAAAAATACAAAAATTAGGTGGGCGTGGTGGCGTGTGTCTGTAGTCCCAGCTACTTGGGAGGCTGAGGCAGGAGAATCACTTGTACCTGGGAAGTGGAGGTTGCAGTGAGCCAGGATCGCACCACTGCACTCCAGCCTGGTGACGGAGCGAGACTCCATCAAAAAAAAAAAAAAAAGAAGAAGAAGAAAATCAACAGGTAAAATACAAAGACTCTCTAAGCAAACATACCTAATCAAAACTAGCTATACAAAGAATACAGAATAAAAAACTAATCCTATTGTGAATAGTGCCGCAATAAACATAAGTGTGCATGTGTCTTTATAGCAGCATGATTTATAATCCTTTGGGTATATACCCAGTAATGGGATGGCTGGGTCAAATGGTATTTCTAGTTCTAGATCCTTGAGGAATTGCCACACTGTCTTCCACAATGGTTGAACTAGTTTACAGTCCCACCAACAGTGTAAAAGTGTTCCTATTTCTCCACATCCTCTCCAGCACCACCAACCCAAATGCCCATCAATGACAGACTGGATTAAGAAAATGTGGCACATATATACCATGGAATACTATGCAGCCATAAAAAAAGAATGAGTTCATGTCCTTTTTAGGGACATGGATGAAGCTGGAAACCATCATTCAGAACCAACTATCGCAAGGACAGAAAACCAAACACCGCATGTTCTCACTCATAGGAGGGAACTGAACAATGAGAACACTTGGACACAGGAAGGGGAACATCACACACCAGGGCCTGCCATGGGGTGGGGAGAGGGGGGAGGATAGCATTAGGAGATATACCTAATGTAAATGACGAGTTAATGGGTGCAGCACACCAACATGGCACATGTATACATATGTAACAAACCTGCACGTTGTGCACATGTACCCTAGAACTTAAAGTATAATAAATAAATAAATGAGTAAATAAATAAATAATCCTCCAACAGAAAGACATAGACATACATTCTCAGGAAACAACAGCAAAAGGAACCATTATTTCTCCAAACCAGTCAAAGGAACCAGTGACTGATCCTAAGGAGATGATGATATGTGAACTCCCTGATCAAGAATTAAAAAGAATAATTATAAGGAATATCAGTAATCTCTAAGGGAAGACAAAAAAGAAATTCACAAGTTTTTCAGAAAATTTAACAAAGAGATTAAAATTAGTTTAAAAAAATGGAAATCTGGGAACTTAGAAACACATTTGCTGAACTGAAAATTAATTAGAGGCTCTAAACAACAGAATGGACGAAGTAAAGGAAAGAATTAGTGAGCTCAATGATAGACAATTTTAAAATATACAATGAGGGGAGAAATTTAAAAAAAAGAAAACAAAGAAAACCCACAGAGAAAATTACCTGAAAAGACAAAATCTAAATTATTGGTGTTTAAGTGGGAGCTAAGCAAGAACAATGGCTAAAAATCTTAATCAAAGAAAAAACAACAGAAAATGTTCTAAAACTTGAGAAAGATATAAATACCCAGGAGCAGGAAGTTCAGAGAATACCAAACAGATTTGACCCAAATAAGACTACCCAAAGGAATTTAATAATAAAACTCACAAAAGTCAAGGACTAAAAGAAGATCCTGAAAGCAGCAAGAGAAAAGAAGCAAATAACGTATGAAGAAGTTCCAAACTGTCTGGGAACAAACTTCTCAGTGGAAACCATACAGGCCAGGTGGGAATGAAACAACATTTTTAAAGTGCTGAGAGAAAGAAAAAAGTCCTGCCATCCAAGAATACTGTATCCAGCAAGTCTATACTTGAAATATGAAGGAGAGATAAAGTCATTCCCAGATAAAAACAGAGAATTTACCACCACCAGACCTGTCTTACTGGAAATGCTAAAGTGAGTACTTCAATCTAAAAGAAAAAAACCCACTAACATGCAGAAAAAAAAAATATGAAGGTATAAAACACACTGGTAAAATAAATATTTAAATCGATATATAAAATAAATATATAACACACGGATACACAGACAACCCCAGAATAATCTAAAACTGTAATTGTGATGTGCAATGTACTTATAACTATTATGAAGCTCAATGGGCAAATCTGTCAAAAACAATAACAATTATAAGCACAACAGCCTGTTAAGAGATAGGCAATATAAAAATACACAAATGGAGTCAACTAAAAGTCTAAATGGGAAGGGAGATGGAGTTAAAAGTGTAACGGGTTTTTTGTTTGTTTGATTATTTGTTTCCATTCTTTTCTTTATGATCTAAGCTGTCATCTCTTTAAAATAATTTGTTATATCTAAAGGATGTTTTTTTGTAAGCCTCATGGTAAACACAGTGGAAAAACCAATAACAGATTCAGTAAAAATAAAAAGCAACAAATTAAAGCATACTACCAGAGAAAATCATTTAACCACAAGGAAAGACAGTATTAAAGATAGAAAAGAAGAGAGGAGTCTCAAAATAACCAGGAAATAAGCAACAAAATGACAGTACAAAGTCTATACTTATCAATAGTAACACTGAATATAAATGGTCTCAATTCTCCAATGAAAAGCCATAGAATGGCTGAATAGATAAAGAAACAAGACAAAACTTGATATTGCCTACAAAAAACCCACTTTGTCTATAAAGACACACGTAAATTCAAAGTGAAGGGGTGGAAAAGGATATTTCATGCAACTTGAAACCAAAACAGAGCAGGAGAAGCTAGACTTATACCAGATAAAATAAGCCAAAAGTGAAAGACTACAAAAAGAGACAAAGAAAATCACTATATAAACAAGTAAATTTAACAAGGGGATATATAACAATTATAAATATTTACACACTTGACATTAGAGTACTCAAGTATCTAAAGCAAACATGAATAGATCTAAAGGGAGAGACAGACTGCCAAACAATAATTATAGGATACTTCAAAACTCCACTCTCAGTAGCAAACAGTTTATTCAGACAGAAAATCAACAAAGAAATATCAGAATTAAGCTACACACTAAGTCAAATAAGCATAACTGACATTTACAGAACATTTCACCAAACTGCTGCAGAACACACATTCTTTCATCAGAACATAGAACAATCTTGAGCCAAAAAAAAGTCTCAACAAATTTTAAAACATAGAAATAATATGAAGTATCTTTTCTGACTATAATAGAATTAAATTAGAAATTGATAAAAAGAAGAATCTCAGAAACTATGCAAACATACAGAACTTAAAGAACAAGCTCCAAAGCAATGAAAGGATCAATGAAGAAACTAAAAAGGAAAATTAAAAATTTCTTGAACAAACAAAAATGGAAATGCAACATACCGGAATCAATTAAATACATTAAAAGCAGTACTAAGAGAAATATTTATAGCAATAATACCTAAATCAAAAAAGAAGGAAAACTTCAAATAAATGACCTAACAAAGCACCTCAAGGAACTAGAAATCCAAGAACAGAACAATCCCAAAATTAGTAGAAGGAAAGAAATAATAAAGATTGGAGAAGAAATAAATGAAATTGAGACAAAAAAAAAAAAAAACACAGAAGACTGACAAAATGAAAATTTGGTTTTTTGAACAGATAAACGAAATTGCCAAACCTTTAGCTAAGATTAAATACAAGAGGGAAGACCCAAATAAATAAATTCAGATACAAAAAACGAAGACATAACTGAGACCTCAGATACAAAAAATCATGAGAATATTATAACCAACTATATGCCAACAAATTGGAAAACCTAGAAGAATTGGATAAATTCTTAGATACATACCACCTACAAAGATTAAACCTTGAAGAAATGGTAAACCTCTATAAACCAATAACGAGTAGGGGGAAGAAGTTAACGTGTAGTTATTTTATTAGTTTTTTGTTTATTTGCTTGTTAGATTTTTTAATTTATGCAATAAGTATTAAGTTGTTATCAGTTTAAAATAATGAGTTATAAGATATTATTTACAAGCCTCATGGTAACCTCAAATCTAGAACCATACAACAGAATCACAAAAATAAAAAGCAAGAAATTAAAATATATTCTTAGAGAAAGTCACCTTCATTAGACAAGAGAAAAGGAAAGAAGGAAGAGAAGATGACAAAACCATCAGAAAACAAGTAACAAAATAGCAGGAGTAAGTCATTATGTATCAATGATAACATTAAATTTATATTAACTAAACTCCCCAATCAAAAGAAATAGAGTGGCAGAATGGATCATAAAACAAGACCCAATGTTCTTCTCCTCAGCACAAGGATCATTCTCAAGTATAGACCATATGATAGGCCAGAAAATAAGTCTTAAAGCATTCAAAAAATTTAAATCATATCAAGAATCTTCTCTGACCACAATGACCAAAATAAAACTAGAAATCAATAACAAAAAGAATTTTGGAAATTATACAAACACATGGAAATTAAACAATATGCTCCTGAATAACCAGTGGGTCAATGAATAGATTAAAAAGGAAATTGAAAAGTTTCTTGAAACAAATCATAATGGAAATACACCATACCACAACATATGGGATTCAGTGAAAGCAGTACTAAGAAGGAATTTAATAGCTATAAGTGTCTACATCAAAAAAAGAAAAACTCAAAATAAACAACCTAATGGTGCATCTCAAGAAAACCAAGAGCAAACTAAACACAAACTTAGCAGAAGTAAAGAAAAATTAAATATCAGAGTAGAAATCGATGAAATTGAAATGAAAAAAATATAAACGATCAACAAAACAAAAAGTTGTTTCTTGAAAAACTAAATTTGACAAAGCTTCTGCCAGACTATTAGTAAGAAAACAAGAGAGAAGATCAAAATAAATAAAATCAGAAATGAATAAGTAGTTATTACAACCTACACCACAGAAATTCAAAGGCTCATTAGAAGTTACTATAAGTGATGCTATGCCAATGAATAGGAAAACCTAGAAGAAATAGATAAGTTCCTAGGCACAACCTACCAAGATTGAATCATGAAGAAATCCAAAATCTGAACAGACCAATAACAGTAATGAGATTAAAGCCATTTAAAAAAGTCTCCCAGCAAAGAAAAGCCTTGGACTCAATGGTTTCCCTGCTGAATATTACCAAACATTTAAAGAAGAACTGATATTATCCCTACTCAAACAATTCTGAAAAATAGACAAGAAAGGAATACTTATAAACTCATTCTATGAGGTCAGTATGGCCCTACCACCAAAACCAGACAAACACACATCACAAAAAGAGAAGTATAGGCCACTATCCCTGATGAACATTGATGCAAAAATCTTCAACAGAATTAAAGCAAATAGAATTCAACAACACGATAGAAAGGTCATTCATTATGACCAAGTGGGATTTACTCCAGGGATACAAAGATGATTCAACATAGGCAAATTAACCAATGTGATACATCATATCAACAGAATGAAGGACAAAAACCATAGGATCATTTCAACTGATGCTGAAAAAGCATTGGATAAAATTCAATATCCCTTTATGGTAAAAACCCTCAAAAAACTGGGTATAGAAAGAACATACCTCAATATGATAAAAGCCATATATGACAGACCCAAAGCTAGTATCATAGTGAATGGGGAAAAACTGAAAGCCTTTCCTCTAAGATTGGGACCATGACAAGGATGTCTATTTCACCATAGTTATTCACTAGTACTGGAAGTCATAACTAGATCAATCAGACAAGACAAAGAAAGGTCTCCCTGAACTGGAAAAGGAGAAGTCAAATTATTCCTCTTTGCAGATGATATGATCTCATATTTGGAAATACCTTAAGACTCTATCAAAAATTATTGGAACTGATAAACAAATTAAGTAAAGTTGCAGGATACAAAATCAACATACGAAAATCAGTAGCATTTCTGTATGCCAACAGCAGACAATCTGAAAAAAAATTTAAAAGTAAGCCCATTTGCAATAGCAACAAATAAAATTAAATACTTATGAGTTAACCAAAGAACTGAATGACCTCTACAAGGAAAACTATAAAAAACTGATAAAAGAAATTGAAGAGGACACACACACGAAATGGAAAGATAGGCCATGTTTATGGATTGGAAGAATCGATATTGTTAAAATGTTCATACTATCCAAAGCAATCTGCAGATTCAATGCAATCCCTATTAAAATACAAATGACATTCTTCACAGAATTAGGAAAAAAAATCCTAAAATTTATATGGAATCACAAAAGACCCAGAACAGCCAAAGCTATCCTGAGCATAAGGAACGAAACTGGAAGAACCACATTGCCTGACTTCAAACTATACTACAGAGTCATAATAACCAAAACAGTATGATACTACAATGAAAACAGACACAGAGACCAATGGCATACAATAGAGAACCCCGAAATAAATCCATACATCTACAGCGAACTCATTTTCAGCAAAGGTGCCAAGAACATACAATGGGAAAAGGACAGTCTCGTCAGTAAATGGCGCTAGGAAAACTGGATATCTGTATATAGAAGAATGGAACTAGACTCCTGTCCCTCACCATGCAAAAATCAAATCAAAGTGGATTAATGACTTAAATCCAAGACCTCTGACTATAAAAGTGTTAAAAGAAAACACTGAAATAACATAATCACACTACAATTAGAATGGCTTTTATCCAAAAGACAGGTAATAACGAATGCTGGCGAAAATGTGCAGAAAAGGGAACCCTCATACATTGTTGGTGGAAGTGTAAATTAGTACAACCACTATGGAGAACAGTTTGGAGGTTCCTGAAAAACTAAAAGTAGAACTACTATATGATCCAGAAATTCCACTGCTGGGTATTTACCCAAAAAAAAGGAAATCAGTATATCGAAGAGATATCTGCAATCCCATGTGTATTCACAATAGCAATATTCACTTGGGAGCAACCCAAGTGTCCATCAACAGACAAATTAATAAATAAAATATGGTACATACACACAATGGACTACTATTCAGCCATAGAAAATAATGAGATTCTCTTATTTGCAATGACATGGATGCAACCAGAGGTCACTGTGTTAACTTAAATAAGCCAAGCACAGAAAGACAAACTTTGCATATTCTCACTTATTTCTTGCAAATTGAAAGCAATTGAACTCATGGAGATGACGAGTAGGAGGCTGGTTATCAGAAGATGGGAATGGTAGTGGGGTCCTGAGGAGGAGGTGGGGATAGTTAATGGGTACAGAAAAATAGAAAGAATAAGACCTACTATTTGATAGCAGAACAGGGTGACTATAGTCAAAAATAACTTAATTGTAGACTTTAAAATAACTTAAAATGTGTAATTGGATTGTCTGTAACACAAAGAATAAATGCTTGAGGGGATGGCAACCCCATTCTCTATGATGTGATTATTTCACATCATATGCCTGTATCAAAGCGTTTCATGTATTCCCTCGATATATACACCTACTATGTACCCACAAAAATTAAAAATTAAAAAATAATACAAATTAAAACAATTGAACTCATGGAGACAGAGAGTAGAATGATGGTTACCAGAGGTGGGAAGGATAGTTAGGGGGGTCATGGAGGGAAGGAGGCTGGTTAATGGGTACAAAAACATAGAAAGAATAAATGAGATCTAGTATTTGATAGCACAGGAGGGTAACTATAGTCAATAATAACTTAATTGTACATTTTTCAACAACGAAAAGAGTATAATTAGATCGTTTGTAAAATGAATGATAAATGCTTGAGGTGATGGATACTTCACCCTGATGATTACACATTGTATGCTTATATCAAAATATTAAATATACCCCATAAATATATACACCTACTATATATTCACAAAAATTAAAAATTAAAAAAAAACTGGGTATAGAAGGAACATACCACAACATAATAAATGGCACATATGATAAACCCACAGTTAACATTTTACTGAATGGGAAAAAATTGAAGGCCTTTCCCCTAAGATCTGGAAGATAATGATGCCCACTTTCATCACTTTTATTCATCATAGTATTGGAAATCCTAGCCAGAGCAATTCAGCAAGAGAAAGAAATAAAGGGCATACAAATTGGAAAAGAAAAATCTAAATTATCCTTGTTTGCAGATGAAATGATTTGTGAAAACTTAAAGACTCCAACAAAAACTGTAAGAATTGATAAATGAATTTAGCAAAGTTGTAGGATATAAAATTGACATACAAAATCAGTAGCATTTATATATGCCAACAGCAAACAAGTTGAAAAAGAAATCAAGAAAACAATCCCATTTACAATAGCCAAAAAGAATATAAAATGCCTAGGAATCAATTTAACTAAAGAAGTGAAAGATGTTTGCAAGGAAACTATAAAACTCTGATTAAAGAAACTGATGAGGGCAGACAAAAAAATAGAAATACATTCCATACTCATGGGTTGGAAGAATTAATATTGTTAAAATGACAAAACTACCTGATATGGTTTGGATGTCCCCACCCAAATCTCAACCTGAAATGTAATAATCCGGATCTGTCAAGGGCGGGGCCAAGTGTGGATAATTGAATCATGAGGGTGTTTTCACCCATACTGTTCTTGTGGTGGTGAATAAGTCTCACAAGATCTGATGGTTTTAAAAATGGGAGTTCCGGCCGGGTGCGATGGTTCACATCTGTAATCCCAGCACTTTGGGAGGCCGAGGTTGGTGGATCACTTGAGGTCAGGAGTTTGAGACCAGCCTAGCCAACATGGGGAAACCCTATCTCTACTAAAAATAAAAAAACTAGCCAGGTGTGGTGGCATGTGCCTATAGTCCCAACTACTCGGGAGGCTGAGGCAGGAGAATCGCTGGAACCTGGGAGGCAGAGATGCAGTGAGCCGAGATTGTGCCACTGCCCTCCAGCCTTGGAGACAAAGTGAGACTCCATCTTAAAAAAAAAAAAAAAAAACGAAAAGAAAAAGAAAAAGAAAAAAGAAAAATGGGAGTTCCCCTGCTCAAGCTCTTTTGCCTGCTCCCATGTAAGATGCAGCTCTGCTCTCCTTTTCCTTCCACCATGATTGTGCGGTCTCCCCAGCCATGTGGAACTGTGAATCCATTAAACCTCTTCCCTTTATAAATTACCCAGCCTCGGGTATGTCTTTATTAGCAGTGTGAGAACAGACTAATACATTAAATTGGTACTGGGAAGTGGGGTGCTGTAAAGATACCTGAAAATGTGGAACTGACTTTGGAACTGGGTAACAGGCAGAGCTTGGAACAGTTTGGAGGGGCCGGAAGAGGACAGGAAGATGTGGGAAAGTTTGGAACTTCCTAGAGACTTGTTGAATGACTTTGACCAAAATGCTGATAGTGATATGGACAATGAAGTCCAGGTTGAGATGGTCTCAGATGGAGATGAGGAACTTGTTGGGAACTGCAATAAAGGTGACACTTGTTGTGTTTTAGCAAACAGATTGGTGGCATGGCATTTTGCCACTACCCTAGAGATTTGTGGAACTTCGAACTTGAGAGAGATAATTTAGGGCATCTGGTAGAAGAAATTACTAAGCAGCAAAGCATTCAAGAGGTGACAGAGCATAAAAGTTTGGAAAATTTGCAGCCTGACAATGTGATAGAAAAGAATAACCCATTTTCTGGAGAGAAATTCAAGACAGCTGCAGAAATTTGCATAAGTAACGAGGAGCCAGATGTCAATCACCAAGACAATGGGGAAAATGTCTCCAGGGCATGTCAGAGACCTTCATGGCAGCTCCTCCTATCACAGGCCTGAAGGCCTAGGAGGAAAAAAAAATGATTTTGTGGGCTGGATCCAGGGCCTGCCTGCTATGTGCAGTCTTGGGACTTGGTGCCCTGTGTCTCAGCAGCTCCAGCCATGGCTAAATGGGGCCAAGGTAGAGCTCGGGCTGTTGCTTCAGAAGGTGCAAACTCCAAGCCTTAGCAGCTTCTACATGGTGTTGGTCCTACAGGTATGCAGAAGACAAGAATTGAACCTTGTCTCAAGGTTCAATTGAGGTGGAGGTTATAAATTACCCAGTCTGGGGTATGTCTTTATTAGCAGCATGAGAACAGACTAATACACTACCCAAAGCAATTTACAGATACAATGCAATCTTTATCAAAATACCAGGACATTTTTCACAGAAAGAGAGTAAACAATTCTAAGATGTATATGTAACTACAAAAGACCCCAAATAGGTAAAGCATTCCTGACCAAAAAAAGCAGAGCTGGAAACATCACACCACCTGACTTGAAAATATATTACAAAGCTATAGTAGGCAAAACAGCATGGTACTGCCAGAAAAACAGACATATAAACCAACAGAACAGAGTAAAGAACCCAGATATAAATCTATGCATTTACAGCCAACTCATTTTTTTATAAAGGTGCCAAGAACCTACAATGAAGAAAGGACAGTGTCTTCAATAAATGGTGTTGGAAAATTTGAATAATCATGTGTAGAAGAATGAAAGTAGACCTCTAGCTCTCACCATATACAAACATCAATTCAAAATGTATTAATGACTCCAATCTAAGACCTCAAACTGTGAAACCACTAGAAAGAAACATTGGGAAAGCACTTCTGGACATTGGGCTGGGCAAAGTTTTTGTGTAAGACCTCAAAAGCACGGTAACAAAAGTAAAAATAGGCAAATGGGATCACTTTAAGCTAAAAATCTTCTGCACAACAAAGGAAACAATCAACAAAGTGAAGAGATAGCCCACTGAATGGGAGAAAATGTTTGCAAACTATACATTTGGCAAGGGATTAATAACCAGAATATATGAGAAACTCAACTCAATAGCAGGGAAACAAATAATATGATTAAAAAATGGGCAAAAGATCTGAATAGACATTAATCAAAAGAAGACATACAAATAGCAAACAGGTATATAAAAAATTCTCAACATCGCTAATCATCAGAATAATGCAAATCAAAACCATAATGAGATATTATCTCATCCCAGTTAAAATGGCTTTTATTACAAAACAAAGAATAACAGATGATGGTGAGGATTTGAAGAAAGGGGAAACCCTCATATGCTGTTGGTGGGAATGTAAATTAGTACACCACTATGGAAAACAGTATGGACATTCCTGAAAAAAACTAAAAAACAGAACTGCCACATGGTCCAGCAATCCCACTGCTGGGTATATCCCCCAAATAAATGTAGTTAGTATATCAAAGAGATATCTAAGCTCCATCTTCATTATAGAACTGCTCACAATAGCAAAGATATGGAATCAACTTAAGTATCCATCAATGGATGAGTGGATAAAGAAAATGTGGTATCTATACACAATGGAATACTATTTGGTTATAAAAAAAGAATGAAATCCTGTCATTTGCAGCAACATGAATGGAACTGGTGGACATTTTAAGTGAAATAAACCAGGCACAGAAAGACAAATATTTCATTTTCTCACTCATATGTGGGAACTAAAAAAAAGTAAATATTATGAAGGCAAACAGTAGATTATTGGTTACCAGAGGCCAGGAAGAGGAGGTTAGAGGGAGGAGGATGAATAAAATAAATAAATAAAGGGGAATAGCTTTTTGAAAAAAAAATAAAGTAAAATGGAATAGAAATAAAATGTTAGAGCTAAAGCTCCAAACCCCTCCCATCTTTTTCTTGCCTTTCCCTCCTTAGAATAACCACTCTGCTGAAGTTGCTGTGTATCATTTCAATAAATGGTCTTTTCTAGGTTTTATTTTTTTGAGATAGGGTCTTACTGTGTCACCCAGGCTGAAGTGCAGTGGTGCAATCATGGCTTATTGCAGCCTCGACCTCCCGGGCTCAAGAGATCTGCCCACCTCAGCCTCCCAACTAGCTGGGACTACAGGTACATGCCACCATGTCTGGCTAATTTTTGTACTTTTTGTAGAAATGAGGTTTTGGCATATTGTCCAGGCTGGTCTCAAACTCCTGAGCTCCAAAAGTGCTAGGATTACAGGAGTGAGCCACTGTGCCTGGCCTCAATGAATGTTCTTATTCTTTTCTCTGTATGTATGTTTCATAAACAATATACAATATCATACAGGGTAATTTTTAATTTGCATAACTAATATCAAACTGCCCACTTCCAGGTATCTATCCTAGGAAAATTTTTACACATGTTCACAAGAAGACACATATGTGCATTACAGTACTATGCACTGTTGTACCATTTGCAATAGCAAAATGGACAGTGAATATAATCTAATTGTCCATCAGTAGAGGAATTGATAAATAACACTGTGGTTTATTCATATCATAGAATACCATAGAGAAGTTAAAATAAATTGGTTAGATCTAAATGTATCAACACAAATAAATCTCAAAAACAATGTCAGGTAAATAAGGCAACTTGCAAATTATACATGCAGGATGATACCATCTACATATTTGTTTACTCCCCTGTAACTCTAAGCTTTCTGATGTCTGTTTATTCATGTTTAAAACACAGATCACAAAATATTATTTCACAGTTATTTCAATTAAATATCTTTTACAGTTTGCAAAGCACTTTTATATACACAATCTCATTAATAAAGACAAATAGGAAGATGAACGTGTTAATGTTTAAAAGTGCTTTTTTCAGTTTTGAGAGTCCTGAGAATTTTTAGTAAAGACTTCATTAGCTCAAGAAACCTACTAGGATCTGAGCTGTATTCTTATCTTTAGGGCCACCATGCTCAATATATGAAAGCCATTAATTAACTTAAGTTCTGACCTTGGTTGAGCTTCCTAATCAGCTACCTCTTGAACCAAAGGAGAAATAAGAATAGGAAGTCACATCAAGGGAGAGCCTCTCATGGTGCTTCCTTTACAGATATATCACCCTATAAAACAACCTGAATGTTTTAACAAGACTCTCAGAGGAAGGCATAACATATGTTCCTTGTTTAAACTTTTAAAATTTTCCTAGAATATAAATTGATTCAACTTTCATCATATAGTAGGCCCTCAAGAAGATAGTGTTAATACGCATTTCTTCCCAAATTCTCTTTTCTTGTCCTGGAAAAGCCAAATAATTTGAAAGCACGGATTATACTTTATCTTTGTATCTTCCAGGGCATTATTTTTGTGCATGAAAGTTGCTCAAGTGTAGAAACCAGTACAGAACAGTAGAAAGCACTCAGGGTCTGACGTCAGACTAAACAGACCTGGCTTCAAGTCATGGATCTACCACTTATTGAGTCATGAATCTGCCAATTGACTTTGGGCTAAGGTTGCCTGATTACTTGCCAGATTTAGCAAATAAAAATCCAGGACACCCAGTAAAAATCTAGGGACATATACAAAACAATTCCTCATTGTTTATCTGAAATTAAAATTTAACCAAGCATCCTGTATTTTCATCTGGTTATCCCACTTTGAGCAAATTACTTGTCTGTGTTTCAGGCAGTTTCCCTAAAGAAATGCCCACAGGGAAGCAGCATTTCCTATTCAGTCATGCCATGGATGAGGCAGAGCCCTCACCTATCCTGCTTCTCCAGAAGATGGAGTTAGGCTATTGACACTTAGTGCCCTGAAGGCAGAGACCCTAAACAATTTCTCTGAGACAGCCCTGCACAATGAAAAACAGTCCCTCCCAAAATATTAATGGTGCCTTGTTTGATAAACACTGTGCCAAATGTCTGTGTGATAAAAGCTACTGTGCTTAGTTTATTATTGAGTTGGCCATTTTATACTGGATGGAAAGTATTCCCTTCCCATGTACTTTTACTGTATATGATCCAGTCCCACACGTAAAACTGGAATGATGCAATTGGGGGTAATAAGTTAAAGAATAAGCAGAAATCATTTCAATTCTGTTGCCATCAGTCCAGTTACAGGCAAAAAATTCCCATAATTCAATCCTTTCTGAGAGAAGTTTCCTATGTAACTCAGAACTAGTTCACACAAGGCAGTGGACAAACGCATGTTTTTTTCTCCCACATTACTATTTTTTTCACTATCTAAACTCAAAGCATTATAGGAATTTATGTTATGTACTATAATCCCACTCCACAATTTAATACTGCTGAATAGCTTTGAAAGGAGGGAAGATGAGAGGGTTATCGTCTTATGTCTGCTCTGGAACAGCTGATTCAACGACCCAGTTTTTCTTCTGTCTGCATTTGCGGGTATCTCAGCTTGTGTTAAAAATGCTCTCTTCTCCTCTTAAACTCAGTTACCCTACTAAGTATGGTCATACATTTAGCCAAAATACAGGGGCTAAGGTGATAACAGTAAAGTGGAAAAGAGGCTTCAGCAGTTCCACAAGAAATCTCCTGAGGTTCTCTTCAATGTCACCTAAGTTAGTGGAACCTTTGGCATCAAACACCTGCATTCAAATTCCGATTATATCACTTACAAGCTCTGTCAACTCAGAAAGATATTTGACCTCTTTGTGCATATGTCCTCACCTACAAAATGGGAATAGTAATACATACTTCAAGTAATTGTCATAAGGATAAGAGAAACACTACCTGTAAAGCATTTAGCACAAAGTTAGGCAGAGAACAGGTACTCAATAAGTAACTATTATTACTGTGATTCCCTCAGAGAAGCACCCCTTCTGACTCCAGGCCAATAGAATCATTGTCAGGTTAAAGTTAGTCTTGAATGACCTATGTGTGGACAATCAGGGAAATAACCAGTTTATATCCTAGCTTAATAAAGCCCTCCAGAAAGTGTCCACATGCACAAATACACACACACACACACACACACACAAACACACATGCACATGCACACCCCAAGCAAAATGAATAGGATAACATTTCACATATAATTCAGATTCAGTTGCGTATACACTGAAAGAAGCTATTTTTCATAAGCAATTTATTAATTTAGAAAAAATGCGATTCACAAACTCAGTTGAAGGAATTTGGCTGAAATGTCACTGCCAATAATGAATGTCATCTTTCAAGACAGAGCCATCTATAGAATAACTTCTACAAAATAGATAAAATGTAAATTTCCATTTTAGGCTGTATGGAAGGAGTATTTCACTCAGCTTTACAAGGAGATGGCATTATCTCCATGCTTTGTGAATCTCAGTGTCCTCCCTAGCCAATTATATCAAACTTTTTAGCACTTTTGATTCATGATTGTGCTTGACAACATTGTTTGACCCTCAGCATCCTCAGCACCCTCTTCCATGCACCTTCCTATTTCACAGGGGTAAAAAAAAAAAACTAAAAACTCTATTTCCCAGCCTCTCTTGCAACCAAAATTCTGGATGTGAATTCCATTTGTCCAACGAGATGCACTTGCACAAGATTTGAAGTGTGGGAGGGAGGAAAATGCCATCTTCCTACTGCTTTGGCCACTGTTGGTCAAATTTACTAGTCAGCTTTGAGCTCTGTGGGGGAGAAGTAGTGGAAGTAACAGCATTGATGGCAGAAGTTCTTGAGTGGTAGCTTCTTAGCCTCTAGGTGACAGTTATGGTGGTGTGTTTCCCAACCTCCAATCTTCTAACCTTTCCAAGGATTTTATAAGCACTGAACCCTAACTGATACAATTCCCTTGGTGCTTTAAAAAACCTTTCCACCAAAACAATTTTATAGCAGTGAATCATAAACTCTACCTCCACAGAGTCTGGGAATATAGCCCTAAGTGAGCCCTTGAGTGCATCAAATGTCTAAAGCTCATATTTTATTTCAGCAACCAATGCAAAATTAGAATTCTGTTCCATAATTCACCTGTTTGTTTTCATACAAAAATGTTTTAACTTATTTGCCTTCAAATAAAACATATGCTAGAGGAAGGCATGCTATGCCTATTATGTATCACAGATCAGTGGTTCTCGAACCAGGATTTGCATCAGAACATGTGCAGAGCATCAATAGCTAGTTTCCCAAGATCCATGCCAGACCTTTGGAATGAGAATCTCTGAAGATTCATGGTGGATTACAGACAGTAAATTTTTAAAAACTCCCCAGTTGATTCTGTTGTGCAGCCAGGTTTGAAAAAAATTTGTTTGGATTTTCAGGAAAATACGTACCTGGATTATATTCCCTCAGTTTTCCCAAAAAGATGTTTTCAGTGAGTGAGTTGTGATTTGATGTTTTGACTGCATTTTTATAGAGGGTAGATAGTGAAAATATTCAATCAAAGGTCTCTGTGTCTTTTCTAAAAATATAATTAAAAAACCATTGTCCTAAAGATAGCAACAATAGAAACTAGGAACTACTAGAAGAGGCAGGGAGGGAGGGAGGGAGGAGGGAGGGGATAGGTTGAAAAACTGTTGGGTATTATGCTCAGTACTTGGGTGATGGGATCATTCATATACTCCAAACCTCGGCATCACACAATATACTCAGTTAACAAACTTGCATACGTACCCCCTGAATCTAAAATAAAAATTAAAAAATAAAAACCCCCATAAAAATTAAACCAAATAAAAACTTCACTCCACAATTTCAGCTTCTTATTCAAGGAAAACAACAATCTTCTATTGAAATTTACTTTTTTTTGGGGGGGGGTACCAAATTTCTTTATTTGCAGGAATGGTACAAATCAAAGAACTTAAGTGGATGTTTTGGTACAATTTATAGAAAAGGTAAAGGAAACCCCAACATGCATGCACTGCCTTGGTGACCAGGGAAGTCAACCCACGGCTATGGGGAAATTAGCCTGAGGCTTACCTTTCATTGTCACTGTCTCCCCGGGGTGTGCTTGTCGAAGAGATATTCCGCCAAGCCAGATTCGGGCGCTCCCATCTTGTGCAAGTTGGTCACGTGGTCACCCAATTCTTTGATGGCTTTCACCTGCTCATTCAGGTAATGTGTCTCAATGAAGTCACACAAATGGGGGTCATTTTTGTCAGTGGCCAGTTTGTGCAGTTCCAGTGGTGACTGATTCACATTTTTTTCCAAATGTAATGCACACTCCATCTCATTCAGCCCGCTCCCAGTCATCACAGTCTGGTTTCTTGATATCCTGAAGGAAGATTCGGCCACCTCATTGGTTCTGCAGCTTCATCAGTTCCTCAGCATGTTCCCTCTCCTCATGAGATTGGTGAAGAAAGTATTTGGCAAAGTTCTTCAAAGCCACATCATCGTGGTCAAAGTAGTAAGACATGGACAGGTAAACGTAGGAGGCGTAGAGCTCCAGGTTGATCTGGCGGTTGATGGCCGCCTCTGAGTCCTGGTGGTAGTTCTGGCGCACCTGCGAGGTGGACGCGGTCGTCAAGGCGGCGACTAAGGAGAGGCGGCGGCGGTGGCTGCGCGGCCCTGGAGCGGCGGCGGGGACCTTGGGGCAGTCCGAGGGCGCGGTGAAAAGGTGACGGAGGGCTGGCTATGGGTGGCCGGCCGGGGTGGGGGACGAGCGCCGGGTTCCGTCCAAGCACAGTTGAAGCAGGAAACCTCGACGACTCTCGGCGAAGAACGTCTCTGAAATTTACTTTTAAGCAGAGCTTAAACTTATCTTTTATTTGTGCAATTTGAATTTAATTTTTTATTTCTAAAAAATAATTTCCTCCAAAATTTGAGAGGCATAATTCTTTGGAATATCATTTTTCTATTTCATATATGTAAAATAAATCAGTGAAATAAATTATAAGCAAAATTGTTTTTAAAACATTGTCCAATATGTCAGTGTCACATATGTGATGCCGTATGATTAATTTCTTTGTAGCATTCTTACTTTGGAAGAAATATATAGAGCCAACATATTTTCCTTTTCCCCTTGGATACCAGAAAGCTCAGAGGTAAACTTTTTGCTATATTCTGTAGAGAAGTCATTCCATATTCCAGGTCCTGTTATCTCATTCCTTCTAAAGAGTTATCTCATTCGTTCTAAATAATTTGTCTTTTTTAGTTTATACATTTGTTTTTTATTGTTTCATTTCAGTCTATTAATATTGTAAACATCTTTGAATGTGGAAGGGATATAACTTATAAGTTAACCAGCTGGCTCTCTTTAGCTGTTGTCTATTCAAGATGAATGACAGAACTGATCATACTGCACAATTATATTTAGCACATGAAGGTCTCAAAGGATAGTGCCAACATACACTCCCTTTATATCATTATTTATTCAGACTACATTCTCATTTTTAAAAATCCAGACAACAGAAAAACATATGAAACACAAAACATAAGTTCCCTTGTACTACAATACTACTCCTTTCCCCACAACATAAATAAATCGCTTTAAGCAAATTTTTATATGATCTCCCATATCTTATTTTCTGAACATATAATAGCAAATGTATACTCCAAAATAGTATTCTGCTTTACATATAGCTCTGCAACTTGCTCTGTTTCTCCTACAGTTCAGCTTGGATATCTTTCCATGTCAATATATATGAATCTATGTCATTATTTTCAACAGTTACATACAATCTCAATATATGAATGTGTCATTATTTATTTCACCAGTTCTCTACTGAACGTAAGCTCTTTTAAGGAACAACATGGCACAACATGGTATTTCCATGGGGAATGCAGTAAAGAGAAGTTAAAAGTTTATTTCTAAAGACATGACCATCTTACTATTTAGTCTCTCACTTTCAGTCACATTACTAATTGCATGTAGCTCATGGTCCCTCAATAATGAATTTTTAATACTAATAAAATTGAGAGAGCAAAAATGGTAACAACTCAGTAAATGACATTTTAAGCCAACTACACGCTGCCAACACATTTTAAATGAGTATTTTATTTTCCCTTAGTTTACACTTTTAAAAAAATCCATTCCACCCAAATAGCCAGATCAAGTTGCTCAACAGGGATTTTATTTTACAATCAAGTCATCATGTAAGTTTCTAAGACAACTATCTGCCCAATGAATCGAAAGAAGAGCATTATGTGGCTTGGCTCTTACTGTGATCACCTAGCAGCTCACGTTGCAGTTTATAGAAACCTAGTCCTGATCCAAACCAAAACTCTTGGGGTGGCAGGGGTTGAAGGTGGGAACAAGAGGCAAGCTGACACTCACAGAAGACTAGAAGCTTCCCGCAATTACAAGCTTGGCTCATGTTGCCCTAAAAATATGAACTCTTTTCACAAATGTTTATAAAGAGAAAATTTTATATTGCAGGCATCTCCACTGACCAATAAGCTGTTTCTGTTTGGGGAGTAAAAAAATGAAATACAGGCAAACAACTGATTTTGTTTGGGGGAGAATTGTTTTATGTGACCACAAACATCTTGCTGGCTACAGTTTTAACTTGGTGTGTGTGTTTGGGGAAAGATGTTGGGGAAGAGGATGGCATAAGTGCTACATTCACACCCAGGTCTTCTGACTCCTATCCATCCACATCCACTAGTTCCTACATCAATCCATTTAACAAATAAGCACTGCCAGAGCACTTCACTAAACTCACTTTCAAAGCACATATTAAAGAGAAATGGCTTAAACTACTACCAGTTCTGATGTGATTAAGGCATTGATCTAGTGCCACTTTCTTGAACCCCTCAAGCTTCTAAGTTTGGGGAGCAATAATTGACCCCTTTGAGACATAGTAGAAACTGTAGATATTCTCATCATAAAAGGAGAATGCTCATACACATAACATTTTGGACACATTTCAGGAGTTTATGGACCAAATTTAACAAAATGGTATTTATTTCGATGAAAGCAATTCATAGAATGATACAACCAAACGGCATTTTGTCTTCATACCTTTGTATAACATTACATGTAAATGTATTCACAAAGCCAAAACAATCCTTTGTTGGATCTCTCATCCTGCTTTTCAAATCAGAAAATGTCACCTTATAAGAGGCCCCCAAGAAACCCATTCTGAGGGTGTTCCTCTACTGCCATCTTGTGGATTTTCGTTGAAAAAATAAAACGCTACAAGAGTTTTTTCTTCTAATTTTCAAGACCTGCATACCTCTCACCTATGTTTGCCAACTGTTAACATCTGGATACATCCACTCTATTTATCTAAATACACACCCATACCCACACATCCTTTTTTTCCAAATCATACAAAAGTAGGTTGCTTTCATCATGACACTTCACTGCAAAATATTTCAGGATGTATTTTCCAAGAATAAACTGATTCCTATAACCACAATACCAACACACCTAAGAAAGTCACCATGAATTCAATATCATCCAGCATCCAGTCTTCACTAAAATTCCTTCGATTATCCTCCAAAATATCCTTTATAGCTTCTGTTTTTCCAATCCAAGATCCACTCAAGATTCACTCAGAGCATTTGAGTGTCTCTTTAAAGAGTCCAGGTAGGATGTCCTCCATCATACCTCACATTCTAGAATTGCCTCTTTCCTCGCTATGATAGTTAGATCAAACATTTCCAGCAAGAACATCACATAAATGACGTTGTGTACCTTCCTCTTGATCATACTGAAGGCACATCATCAAGCAAAACCACTATTGGCATTGCCAAGCTTGACCACTTGGTTAAAGTGATGACCACCAGACTTTTCCATTGAGAAAGCACATTTTTTCTCTTTAAAAGTAGTCTGTAGAGTGATATTTTGAGACTTATTTTCAACATTTTACCCAGTCATATTAGCATCCTCTGATGATCCTTACCTGAGCCAATTATTACTTTGGGTGTTAAAAAGTATTGCTTTTCTAATTATTTTATTCCTTCTACATTTAGTAGCTGGCATTCTTCTGTTTTAAAAAAAACACACTGGGAATTCTTTTTTCTCCTCTCCTTTTATTTTACTTTGAATATTACCATGAATTTATGGATTTTTTTTTCTTAACTCAATGTACTATAAACTATTACCAAATTTTTTTTATGTTTAAATTATCCCAGACTTGGCCAGTGGGTGTCCCTTCAAGTTGCTTCCTGTGTCCTTATGAAATGTCCCCATCATTCTCTGATCACTTTCTTACTTTCTGGTTGTATTAATCCATTTTCATACTGATATGAAGAAATACCCGAGACTGGGTAATTTATAAAGAAAAAAGAGGTTTAATGGACTCAAGTGCCACATGGCTGGTGTGGCCTCACAATCATGGTGGAAGGCAAAGGAGGAGCAAAGGTATGTCTTACATGGCAGCAGGCAAGAGAGCATGTGCAGGAGAACCGCCCTTTATACAACCATCAGATCTTGTAAGTCTTATTCACTACCATGAGAACAGCAGGGAAAAAAAACCCTTCTCCATGATTCATTTGCCTCCCACTGGGTCCCTCTCACAACATGTGGGGATTATGGGAGCTACAATTCAAGATGAGATTTGGGTGGGGACATAGCCAAACCATATCACTGGTATAGCAAGATATCTATATCTAGGCTCACATTGTGCTTGTACTTTCACTGAAATCAGTAGTTTCTCCAAAGAAACCTGATTAGTTTAAGTAAGAAATGATGCATAGAAACAAATATCTTGGTGTTAGGTATGTATGCTACTACAGGGTCATTACTCCTATATCCAGTCAATCAATGAACAGAGATAGAAATACATACACACACACTCACACACACACACACACACACACACACGCATGCACGTATTTTAATCATGAGTTCAGAGGTCTTCTATGATTGAGTAGCTTGTAGTAGAGATGAATATTTTAACAAGAAAAAGTAGAAAAGGCAGGTTTTTATAAACATTTTTTGAGAAGAAATAAGAAGGCTACTAAGGTAGCCAGGACTTGAGAAACTAGATCCAGAAAGAAGGGAGCTCATTAAGGTGAGCTTACTTCATGGACACTTATTTTCCTCCTTGATGTTTTTGGCATGGAGAATGAGATAAAGAATTTAGCAGAGCAGTTTTAGGTCACCTCTTGGGGCTGGGGAGATTAAAAGTGTTCAGTGGACAATGCAGCTAGGTGTTGAGAGACCAAGCTCTCAGAGAGATAGAAGGGACAGAGAATAGAACCTAGCGCTTGGAACCAGTGTTCTTCTAGAGGCATTTACAGTTTAAACTGTGCAGAAAATTAGGGTAAGAAGCCAATCAGAAAGCATCAACAAAGTAGAGCAAGCAAGCAGGCTCACAATGTTCGAGGGTGAAAAATTGGAGTTCATGACCTTATAAGTAGGAGGAGTTCCAACAAACAACCCTGATTCTTAGTTGGAACTCCTAGAGAGCTACGCCCTAGAAGTGGGAGTAAACCAGAAGCAAACTGGGACATACAAAGACCGCAAATTAGCTTTCAGTTAGCAAAGCCCCAAGTTGAATTACATTTATCTAATTCTCTGCTGCCTGACAGAGGAAAAGGCAATATCCTCTGAAGGAAGATAACATGATCTGGAGTCTCTATATGTTTCATACACAATGTTGGGCATTCAGTCAAAACCATTTTTTATATGACAAAGAGTTGTATTCTTTTAAACTCTGAAGAAACAATAAGAGAAACATAAGCACTTTCATTTTTTAAAACAATCTTCTTTTCAGGTATTAAAGCTTTTCAGAGTTTAAATCAAAACTTCAATCTCATTCTGAATTCAAATCTTCTCTTCAATCTCAGTTTAGGCCTCATCTCTTGGGTCAGAAATAGGCAGGGAGGAGGAGGGTCTAATCCTTCACGTTCTTGATCTATTCAGTAAAAATTACTGACATACAAATAAATAGGAGCAAGAGAAAAAGAGAGAGGCTAGAAACAGAAACAGGTAATATTGGAGTTATCAGACCAAGACTTTAAAATAATTGTGATGAACAGGTTCCACAGAATTGGAATCTACAATAAAAAGCCAAATGGAAGTCTGGAACAGGAAATAAAATAGCTAAAATTAAGAGCTCAACAGATGGATTTAACAGCAGATTGGGCAAAGTTGAAAATGGAATTAGTGCACTAGATAGTATCTAGAATGAAGTGTAGAAGTAAAAAGCATTGATATTGCTGAAAAGGTTGTAAGATATATATATATATAATAGTGGGAAAGACTAATATAAGTGTAGTTGGGGGACCTAAGAAAAGAAGAGCAAGGGAGTTAGGGTAGAAGCAGCCTTAGAGAAAGTGGACAAATTCTTTAAGAAACACAACTCAATAAAATTGAAACAAAAATAAATAGTCCTAGATCTATGAAAGAACTGAAACCTGTTATTAAAAACCTCACCACAAAGTAAAACTCCAGGCTTAAATGGCTTCACTGACAAAGTGTTTCCAACACTTGGAGAGTAAATAACATTAATCTTACACGAATACTTCCAAAAAAAAAAAAAGAGAGAGAAAACATGGAACACTTCTCATCTTGTTTTATGAAGCCACCAAAACCAAAACTTGTAAAGGACATTCCAAGAAATAAAAATCACATTAATAATGTGTGTGTGTGTGTGTGTGTAAATCTAACTTAGTGATATTTAACAATGCTAATATATCACAACCACATGAAGCTTATGGAAAATTAATTCATTTAACTTATAATTTACTATATTAACAGGAAAAAAGGACAGAAAATCATATGATCACCTCACTAGATGCAGAAAAGATATTTAATAAAATTCTACTTTCAGTTGTGATTTGAAAAAAAAAAAAGAAAGCCTCTTAGCAAACTTAGAAGACAAGGGAACTTCCTCAATCTGAAAAAATAGCAGCTACAAAAATCCTACAGCAAACATCATAATTATTGTTAAATTATCTTAAAAATTTCCCCTGAGATCAGGAACAAGATAAGATATCTGTTAGCAACACTTCTATTTGATGTCATACTAGAGATCCTAATCAGCATAATAAGTCAAGGAAGAAAGGAGGGAAAGGTATAAGGATTAGAAGTGAAAAAAATCCAAAAGTATCTACAAAAGTTTTGAATTAATAGCTGTTTTAAGGAGGTTGGTATGAGTTCAAAATATAAAAATCAATTTCATTTATCTAGATCATGAGAGTAAGTACAAATTTTTAAAACTACAATATCTTCCAAAAATAGGCAAATACCTAGAAATAAATCTTTAAAAAGATGTGTAAGGTCTTTACACTAAAAACCATAAGATATTTCTGAGAAATTTTTTAAAAACCGATTTAAATATAGGAATATGCTTATGAACATGAATATACATGTTCATAGGCTGGAATCTTGATTTTGTTAATATATCATTTCCTCCCAACTTCATTTGTGGAGTCAATAAAATCTCTCCCCCAAAAAGTCACAAGGTTGTTGTGAAAATTAATAAGCTGATATTCAAATTTATATGAAACCTCAGTTGGAGGGGGAAGTAGAGCAAGATGGCTGAATAGAAGCCTCCCACAATTGTTCCCCACACAGGAATACAAAATTGAACAGCTATCTACACAAAAATACACCTTCACAAGAACCAAAAATTAAGAAATCACAGTACCTGGTTTTATTATAACATCATATTAAAGAAAGAGGCACTGAAGAGGGTAGGAAAGACAGTCCCCAATCGCCTACACAACCCCTCCCCCTTCCCCGGCAGTGGTCACACGGCACATGGAGAGAGAATCCACGCACTTGATGGAGGGAGAGCACAGTGGTTGTGGGACTATGCATTGGAATTCAGTGCTGCCCTGTCAGAGTGGAAAGCAACATGGGGCAGAATTCAGCCGGTGCCCATAGAGGGAGCATTTAGACCAACCTTAGACAAAGGCAAATTATCCAGCCCAGTGGTTGGAACCTAAGTTCCAGCAAGCCCCACCACTGTATGCTAAAGGGCTATAGGATCTTAAATAAACTTGAAAGGCAGTCTAGGCCACAAGGACAGCAACTCCTGGGCAAGTCCTGGTGCTCTGCCGAGCTAGGAGCCAGTGGGCTAGGGGGCACACAACATAGTGAGACAAGCTGGAGTGGCCAAGGGAGTGCTTGCATCACCCTCTCCCTCAACACCAGGCAGCACAACTTGCAGCTCTGGGAGAGACTCCTTCCCTGGGCTTGAGGAGAGAAGAGTGGAAAGCAAAGAGGATGTTATCTTGCAAGTTGTATACCAGCTTAGCCATAGTAGAATAGGGAACCGAGGAAGATTCTTGAGGCCCTAGCTCCCAGATGCCATTTCTAAACACACCCTGGGCCAGAAGGGAAACTGTTGCCTTAAAGGGAAAGACTCAGTCCTAGCAGAAATCATCACCTGTTGACTAAAGAGCCCTTGAGCCCAGAATAATCAGCAGTGGTAGCCAGTCAGCACTCACTGTAGGCCTTGGGTGAGATTCAGAGTTGTGCTGGCTTCAGGTGTGACCCAACATATTCCCAGCTATGGTGGCTATGGGGAGAGACTCCTTCTGCTTTAGGAAAGGAGAGGGAAGAGTAAAGGGGACTTTGTTTTTCAGCTTGGGTACCAGCTTGGCCACAGTGGGGTAGAGCACCAAACAGGCACTTAGGATCCCTGTTTCCAGGCCTTGGACCATAGATGGCATTCCTGGACCTGCCCTGGGACAAAGGAGAATCTACAATGCTGAAGAGACTCAAGACTGGCAGCATTCACTGCAAGCTGACAGAAGAATCCTTGGTCTTTAGTTGAACATCTGTGGTAGCCAGGCAGCACTTACTGTGGGCCTAAGCAGTGGTGGCCATGGGGAGAGTCTCCTCTGCTTGAGGAAAGGTGAGGGTAGAGTGAGAAGGATTTTGTCTCATGGCATGGGTACCAGCTCAGCCATAATAAAACAGAGCACCAGGTAGAATTCTAAGGTTTCCAACTCCAGGCCCTGGCTACTGGACAGCATCACTGGACCTACCCAGAGCCAGAGAGAATTCACCATCCTTAAGGGAAGGACACAAACCTGGCTGGCTCTACCATCTGCTGATTGTAGAGTCCTTGGGCCTTGAGTGAACATAAGCAGTAGTCAGGCAGTGGTGACTGCAGGCCTTGTGTAAGACCCAGTGCTGTACTGGCTCCAGGTCTGACTCAGTACAGTCTTAGTCATGGTGGTCACAGGGGTACTTGTGTCACCCTTCCTCCAGCTCCTGGCAGCTCATCACAGAGAGAGAGAGGGACTCTGTTTCAGGGAATGTAAGGGAAGAAGACAAGAGTCTCTGCCTGGATTCTCCCAGATCTTACCTAAGACCACAAAGGCGGTAACTTTACGAGTCTTAAAGAGCCACAGCATTACTGGGCTTGGGGAACCCTCAAAGCAGATATGGCCACAGTAACCAAAGACTTAGATCACAACACTCAAGCTCCTTCAAATACCTGGAAAGATCCCAGGAAGGATACAAACAAGCCCAGACTGTGAAAATTACAATAAATACCTAACTCTTTGATGCCCACATACTGATAAACATCCACAAGCATCAACACCATCCAAAAAAACATAACTTCACCAACTGAATAAGGCGCCAGTGACTAATCCCAAAGAAACAGAGATATGTGACCTTTAAGACAGAATTCAAAATAGCTGTTTTGAGGTAGCTCAAGGAAATGCAAGATAACACAGAGAAGGAATTCAGACTCCTATCAGATACATTTAACAAAGATATTGAAATTAAAAAAGAATCAAGCAGGCCTGGTGCAGTGGTTCATGCCTGTAATCCTAGTGCTTTGGAAGGCCGAAGCAGGCAGATCACTTTGAGGCCAGGAGTTCAAGGCCAGTCTGGCCAACATGGCAAAATCCTATCTCCACTAAAAATACAAAAATTAGCTGGGTGCGGTGGCACATGCCTGTAATTCCAGCTACTCGGGAGGCTGAGGCACAAGAATTGCTTGAACCCAGGAGGCAGAAGTTGCAGTGAGCCAAGATCACACCACTGCAGTACAGCGTGAGTGACAAAGTGAGACCCTGTCTCAAAAAATAAATAAATAAATAAATAAATAAATAAAGCAGAAATTCCGGAGCTGAACAAGGCAAGTGACATACTGAAGAATGCATCAAAGTCTCCTAACAGCAGAATTGATAAAGCAGAAGAAAGAAAGAGTGAGCTTGAAGACAGGCTATTTGAAAATCTGCACTCAGAGGAGATGAAAGAAAAAAAAAGAAAAGAATGAAGCATGCCTACGAGATCTACAAACTAGCCTCAAAGGGCAAATCTAAGAGATAGTGACCTTAAATAGAAGGTAGAGAGAGAAATAGGAGTAGAAAGTTTATTCAAAGAGATAGAAACAGAGAATGTCCCAAACCTAGAGAAAGATACCAATATTCAAGTACAAAAACAAGTCTATAGAACATCAAGCACATTGAACACAAATAAGACTACCTCAAGACATTTATTAATCAAACTCCCAAAGGTCAAGGATAAAGAAAGAATCCTTGGCCAGGCGCTGTGGCTCACGCCTGTATTCCCAGCACTTTGGGAGGCTGAGGCGGGCGGATCACGAGGTCACCCTGTCTCTACTAAAAATACAAAAAAAACTAGCCGGGCGTGATGGCCGGCGCCCGTAGTCCCAGCTGCTGGGGAGGCTGAGGCAGGAGAATGGCGTGAACCCAGGAGGCGGAGCTTGCAGTAAGCCGAGATCACGCCACTGCACTCCAGCCTGGGTGACAGAGCAAGACTCCATCTCAAAAAAAAAAAAAAGAAAAAAAGAAAAAAAAGAAAGAAAGAATCCTAAAAGCAGCAAGAGAAAAGAAACAAATAACATACAATGGAGCTCTGATATGTCTGGGAGCAGACTTCTTGGTAGAAAGCTTACAGGCCAGGAAAGAGTGGCATGACATACTTAAAGTGCTGAAGAAAAAAAAAAAAACTTTTATCCTAGATTAGCATTTCCAGACAAAATATCCTTCAAACATGAAGGAGAAATAAAGACTTTCCCAGACAAACAAAAGCTGAGGGATTTCAACACAAGACCTGTCCTGCAAGAAATGCTAGGGGGAGTTCTTCAATCTGAAAGAACAGGATGCTAATGAACTATAAGAAAACATCTGCGCCTGGCGCCATGGCTCACGCCTGTAATCCCAGCACTTTGGGAGGCCAAGGCGGGTGGATCACCTGAGGTCAGGGGTTCGAAACCATCCTGGCAAACATGGCGAAACCCCGTCACTACTAAAAATACAAAATTAGCCGGGCATGGTGGCGCATGCCTATAATCCCAGCCACTTGGGAGGGTGAGGCAGGAGAATTGCTTGAACTTGGGAGGCGGAGGTTGCAGTGAGCCGAAATCACACCATTGCACTCCAGCCTGGGCAACAAGAGCAAAACTCCATCTCAAAAAACAAACAAACAAACAGACAAAAAGAAAACCTCACTGGTAATAGTGCACAGAAAAACAGACAAGTATAACATTGAAATTATGGTGTATAAATTACTCGTAGTTTGAGTAGAAACACCAAAAGATGGTCCAATCAAAACTAGTAACTAAAACAACTTTTCAAGACTTAGGCAGTATGGTAAGATAGAAATAGAAACAACAAAAAGTAAAAATTGGAGGAATGAAGTTAAAGTGTGGAGATTTTATTAGTCTTCTTATCGCTAGTTGATTTTTTTTAATTTATGTAATAAGTGTTATTATCAGTTTAAAATATGGGCCATATTATTTGCAAGCCTCATGGTAACCTCAAATCTTAAAACATACAACAGATACACGAAATTAAAAAGGAAGAAATTAAAATATATCCCAGAGAAAATCACCTTCACTAAAAGGAAGAGAGGAAGGCAGGAAAGAAAAAAAAAAAAAAAAGACTACAAAACAACCAGAAAACGAGTAAGAAAATGGCAGGAGAATGTCATTACTTAACAATAATGACATTGAATGTAAATGGACTAAACTCTCCAATCAAAAGACATAGAATGGCTGAAGGGATTAAAAAGCAAGACCCAATGATCGGTTGCCTAAATGTAACACACTTCACCTATAAAGACACAGATAGACTGCAAATAAAGGGATGGAAAAAGATATTTCATGCTAATGGAAACCAAAAAAAAGTAGGAGTCACTGTACTTAGACAAAATAGAGTTCAAGAGGAAAACTATAAGGAGAGACAAATTAGGTCACTATATAGTGACAAAGGAGTGAATTCATCAAGAGGATGTAATAACTTTAAACAGATATGCATCCAACACTGGAACACACAGATATATAAAGCAAATATTATTAGAGCTAGAGAAATAGACCCCAATACAAAAATAGCTGTGTAATTTAACACCCAACTGTCAGCACTGGACAGACCTTCCAGATAGAAAATCAACAAAGAAACATCAGACTTAATCTCCACTATAGAACAAATGAACCTAACAGATATTTACAGAATAGAACATTTCATCATATGGCTGCAGAATACACATTATTCTCAGTACATGGATCATTCCCAAAGATAGACCATATAGTAGCCACAAAACAAGTATTAAAAATTAAAAATATTGAGATAATATCAAGCATTGTCTCTAACTACAATGGTATAAAACTAGAGATCAATAATAAGAGGAATTTTGGAAACTACATAAACACATGGAAATTAAGCAATATGAACCTGAATGGCCAGTGGGTCAATGAAGAGATTAAAAAGGAAATTAAAAAATGTCTTCAAACAAATGAAAATGGAAACACAACAACATACCAAAACCTATGGTATATAGTGATAGCTTTACTAAGAGGAGAATTTATAGCAATAAGCACCTACATCAAAAAAAGAAGAAAAACTCAGAATAAACAACCTAATGATGCATCATTAGCCAGTCCTCTATAAATGATCATATAGGTTATTTCCAATATTGTTTTCCGTTACAAACAATGCTGCAGTAAATAACCTCGGTACATACGTTGTTTCTTGTTTGTGGAGGGGGATCTTCTGGTTAAAATACCAGAAGTGAGATTGCTGTGTCAAAAGATAAAAATACTGCAAAATCTCTCTCCAAAGGAGTCGCTATAATTTCACACTCCCACTAGCAATGTTTGAGTGACTATTTTCATAGAGTATTGCCCACAGAATGAGTTGCCAAGCTTGTCAAAACTCCTCCATTCTCACTCTCAGCTAATGACTTTGATTCCTACTTAACTGAGAAAACTGAAGCAATAAGAAACTTCAGACTCCTATTGCCACCGCCTTTGTGCCTATGCTCTCTGCCATCTTGCTTATCACCATATGTGAGGCTCTACTTGCTCCTATCTAATGTCACCTATGTATTTGATCCTTCCTCTCTCACCTATTGAAGTACATGACTCCAACATTTTTACACTCTTTCTCCTATATCACTAATGTTTTACTCTCTACTGGATCATTTCCACCAACATATAAATATGCTGTTATTTCTGAGTTGGGGAGTGCGGGGGCGGGGGGGATTTTCCTTAGGATGGAGACATCTGAACAATAGGTGGTTGGGCAAGGACAGGAAAAAAAAAACATACCTTCTGCTCTTAATGAAAAAATAAACATTCTTCATTCATTCATGTTAATGATTTGGAAGTAAACTCACCTGATAACAGTGTTCTACGCCAGGAGCTCTCAAAATTTAATGTACATCAGAATCACCTGAAGGGCTTGTTGAACCACAGAATTTCTGACTTGGTAGGTTTGGGATGTGGCCTCCTAGAATTTACATTTCTCAAGTACGCCCAGTTGATACTGCTCTTGCTGTTATGGGGATCTTACTTTGAAAATCACTGCTCTACACCCTCTTTTTACATTTGACACATCATATCTTAATTCAACAAATCTGCATCAATTGGGCATTTGTCGATAAACTTCAAAGGTGGAAACAATCTCCTTTTTAAATTATGGAATACATTACCTTAGAAAATACGCATTTCCCTTGACCTCACTCCTCCCACCAATTATTGTTTGATTTGTTCATTCCTGTTTGAGGCAAAAATTCTCAAAAGAGTTCCTATCTCTGCTGTCTCCAATTCCTCTAGTCTGTCTTTCTTTCTTTCTTTCTTTCTTTCTTTCTTTCTTTCTTTCTTTCTTTCTTTTTGAGACAGAATCTCACTCTTTAGCCTAGGTTAGAGTGCAGTGTCATGATCAACTTCTCAAATAGCTAGGACTACAGGCACATCCCACCATACCTGGCTAATTTTTCTTTTTTAATTTGTGTAGAGATGCGGTCTCACTATGTTGCCCAGGCTGGTCTTAAACTCCTGGCCTCAAGTGACCCTCCTGCCTTCACTTCCCAAAGCACTGGGATTACAACTGCAAGCTGTCACACCCAGGCATCCTCTAGTCTTTCTTAAAATCACTACAATCAAGCTTTCACTCCTACCATTCTATCACAACTACCCTAATCAAGGTCTACAATGACCTCTATATTGATAAACCTACCTTCAAGTCTTATCTCTCACCTGACTTAGCAGCAGCATTTGAGCTTGTATTACACCCTTCCCCTTTCTTCCCTTGACTTCGAAAACACCCTACACTTTGTGTTTCCCTCCTACCTCATTCAACACTCTCAGTCTCCTTTGCTGGCTTTCCTCTCTTTCCCTACGTCAATTTTGGGATTGGGTCCTTGGGTCCTCTTCTGTAACTATCTCATTTGCTCTACTACACAGCTTTAAATATCAGCTTTTTGCTGACGATCCCCAAATTTATATCTCTAGCTCTGAATTCCTTACTCTTATATCCAGCAACTATTCAACATCTGCACTTCAGTGTCTAATACTCATCTCCAATTCAACACGGCCAACTCCTGGTTCCTCAAACCAGCTTCTATTGTGCTCTGCCCCATATCAGTACTGATAACAACTCCATCCTTCTCATGCTTTCTGGATTACTTCCTTTCTCATACACCTCACATCCAATCTGTCAGGAGATCCTATACACATCCTATACACACTTCCTTCAACTCATTCCCCAAAATCTGACCTTCTACTTGACTTTTTTTTGTTTGTTTTTGGTTTTGAGACAGGGTCTCACTGGGTCACCCAGGCTGGAGTGCAGTGCCATGATCATGGCTCACTGTAGCCTCAATCTCCCAGGCTCAAGCAGTCCTCCCACCTCAGCCTCCCAAGTAGCTGGGACTATAGGCATGCATCACCATGCCTGGCTAATTTTTGTATTTTTTGTAGAGAAGAGGTTTCACCATGATGCCCAGGCTGGTCTCAAACTCCTGAGCTCAGGCAATCCACATACTTCGACTTCTCAAAGTGCTGGGATCACAGGTGTGAGCCACCACACCTGGCCAAATCTGACCTTCTTAACACCACCTCTCACCTGCTAACACTCTGGTGTGAGCCCCTACATTGCTGCAACAGGCTCATCACTGGCATTCTGTTTATCTTCTTGCCATCCTACAGTCTATTCCCAGCACAGCAACCAGAGTGATTGCATTCAAACACAAGCCAGGCCCTGCCCCTCCTCTGCTCAAAACCCTGAACTGGCTGCCATCTCCTGCAGAGTCAAATCCCAGTACTCACCATGGCCTGCAAGGCCCTATATGTCATCCGGTGCAATCATCTTTCTAACTACTTACCCAATACTCTTTCCCTTGTCCTCTCTCAATCAGTCACACAGGCCTCTTTGCCATTCCACAAACTTGCAGGCACATGCCCACCTTGGGGCTTTTGCTCTGGCTGTCTCCTCTGCTGGAATGCACCTCCCTTAGATGTCAGCTTTGTTAACTCCTTTATGTCCTTCAAATCTTCTCTGCTTAATGAAGTCTATTCTAACTATTCAGTAGTACAGCCTGTACCTCTCCTCAGAGCCACTCTGAACCCCTCTCCTTCTGCATTTTTACTTTTTTCCATACTACTTACAACATTCAAGTGCATTATATAATTTATTTATTCATTATGCCTGTTGTTTCTTCTCTTCTTACTCTCCATACCCCCATCACTAGAATTTAAGCTCCTTGAGAGCATTGCTGTATCACAAGCACCCAGAACAGTGCCTGGAATATAGTAAGTCCTCGACAAATATTTATTAAATAAATAGACACATTTTCTCTTTTCTTCCAGAAAAGTCACTGCCATTGCTACTGTTTTTGAAACACTGCCTTCTTGTGCTCCCAATCTGCAGCTTCCATTCAGTCCGCACTGCATTTAACACATGCTATGTTCTGAGGAGAAATGGAAAGAATGCTCTTCTTTCCATAGGACTCAGGCCTAGTCTATGGAGCCAGTCAAAGGAATAGGCATTCTGCTCACCCATTGATCACCAAGATTCTTCCCTCAAGGGCCAGAAAGTAAAACAAACTCCTCCAAGGCCCCAGTCCCAATATAATGAACCTACGGAAACGGATGCCCAGATATGTCTGAAATTTAGTTTTCACTCAGATATAAACTTCTGCTACTATAAAGTGATTAGAGTAGATGAGTTCTGGTCTTTTTTATTGCTTAACTTTTATTTAAGGTTCAGGGGTACATGTGTAGGTTTGTCATGTCATGGGTGTTTGGTATACAGATTATTTCATCACCCAGGTACTAAGCATAGTACCCAATAGTTATTTTTCCTGCTCCACTCCCTCCTGTTACACTCCCCCATCAAGTAGGCCCCAGCGTCTGTTGTTCCCCCTCTTTGTGCTCATTGGTTCTCATTATTTATCTCCCACTTACAAGGTAGAACATGTGGTATTAGAAAATGTGGTAAAGAAAATGTGATGAATATACACCATGGAATACTATGCGACCATAAAAATGAATAAGATCATGTCCTTTGCAGGAACATGGATGGAGCTGGAGGCCATTATCCTTAGGAAACTAACACAGGAACAGTTCTGGTCTTTTCTAGTTCTAAATGTTCTTGTGACATTTCAGCTTAGTGTTTACAGTTAAATTAGCACATTTCCAAAGTTCTAATTATTTGTAATGCTTATTCCAAGTATGACTCTCTACTTTTAAAAAGCCTAAGTTAAATTACCTAAAAGCTGTTCTGGGAGCTGTTTTATCATGAACATGCATCCCATGACTGTCTGTACTGGGTGAAGGAGTTGATATTCTGAGTGCTCATTCAACTCGTTAGGTGATTTTTTTTCCCCCTTCAGTGAATCAACTGGTCATTTGACTGGACTGTCCAAATAAACCAGTTGTAGAATAATGTTTTGGAAGGGCATTTCTCTAAAGTCAGCAAGACACTGTGGCCTATATAAGTGAAAGTAAACAAAGCTATATTTAGCTTTCCCTTATCTATCACATTATTTGGCAAGAGACACAGGCATCAGCCAGCCCAAGCGTCTTCTCCCAGCTTTGGTGCCCAATTAAGACAGAGTAGGCAGGACATAAGAGGGTCATGTTGGCTTTTCCTGGGAGAGTCTAGTCTATTTGACTTATTTTATTGTTGTTTCTATATTTTTAAAAATTTTATTTTGTAATGCAAAAGTTGTCAAAATCAAAATGCAGTTACTAATGTTAAGAACACCCTAACAAATAGAGTCAGGAAACGCCATGAAGAGAGGGTTCTCATGCTTGTATGACCAATAACAAAAAATAAATTTCAGAATACTACAAAAAACACAACCTTACACCAGGGCCATCACAACCGAATACATAAAAATACTTCCACAGGACTATCTGCCCAACAACTGCCTGTCCAACCTTGGACGGGTATCACCCTTGTTATTGATCTTTGTAGCCAAAGATAATTATTTCAAAACAAATATACAATTCGCCCCATTTTTTCCTTGAAAAAGCTTTGTCTTCCTTTACTTCCCTAAATATGACATGAGTATTCCCATTACAATACTCTATTCCCAAATAAACATCTTTTCTTTTAAAGAGGTTTCTCTCTGTTTGTTATTTAGGTTAACAGAAATAACGACAGATTCATTAGAAGTTGCAAAGATGAAAAAGAGGGATCTGGTGTATTCTTCACCCAATTTCCCCCAATAGTTACATCTTACATAACTACAGTGCACTATCAAAACTTGGAAATTGGCATTGGAACAATGTGTGTATATATAGTTCTATTCCATTTGATCACATGTGTAGATTTTTTGTAACCATCACTGAAATCCAAATGCAGAAATACAGTAAGTCCTCACTTAATGTTGTTGATAGTTATTGGAAACTGTGACTTTAAAGTGAAATTATGTACAATGAAGCCAATTTGACCACAGGCTAACTGATATAAACAAGAGCCAAGTTTCTATGGTATATTTCTGGTCACAAAAACATCACCAAACTTTTAAATATAGACCTCAAACACTTCTAATATTAAACACTGAAATGAATGCAAGCTATCCCTACATTTTAAAAAGATTAATGAAAACAAGATAATTATTTACCCAATTTTTGGTGAATCACTGAATGACAGTGGTCATAGTGATAATGGATTAAATAAAGAAATAAATGTCTGCAAAGTGAACATTGTTAGGAACACCTCCTCCCACCACTCAGTTCAGAAACAAGCAATAACATATATGGCAGGCTCACTGATCACTTTCTTACCATTTCATGTATTGTCATGTATGTGTAAGATTACCGTAGGCTTTACAAATTTTTATTTTACCATAATTTGTACTCATTCATTCATTCATTTTCCATCCTACTTATTCCAGTTTAGGGTTCTGGAGGGCCAGAGCCTATCCCTGCAGCTCAGGGTGCAAGGCAGTAACCTACCCTGGCCAGGACAGCATTCCATCACGGGGTACACTCACGCACACCTCCACACTCACTCAGACAACGTAGACAGGCCAATGAGCCTAAGGTGCACAGCTTTTGGATGTAGGAGGAAACTGGAGTATTTAGCGAAAACCCACGCAGATATGGGAGGAACATGTAAACTCCACACAGACAGTGGTCCTGGCAGAAAATCAATTTTTTTCCTCATGGATGTTATGAGGAAACATTGTTGAATGAAACAATGTTATACGAGGACCTGCTGTATTCCATCACCACAAGGATCTCCCTAGTGCTAAACATTTACAGTTACACCCATCCTCCTCCTCTCTACTTAATCTATTTTTAGCTATTTAAGGAATGTGCCGCAGCAGATGGGATTTTCCTGTTGTGACCTATACCTAAAAACTCCGAGAACAGTTGTATCATTTTCATTGCAAAGAAATCTCTGACAACTTGTCAAACCTCTGTTTTGAGCCTAAGCTCAAAACTACCAGTTTGCTTTATTGCCGTAAAAGAATCTGAGCTATATCAGGGCCTTTCTAGGGATATTTAATATTCAAATATATTTTAATTAACTTATTCTATTCTTGTTGGTATTGAAGCCTAGATTTAAAAAAAAAAATCCCTTAGTAAGCGATTGTTTAAAATGCCTCCTCCAATGACCTAGTTACATGCTCAATAAGACAATGACGACTAGATCTAGGGCTCTAAGGAATAACATTCGATAACTTTCTATCTCCAATGTGCAAAAGAGCTATGGGTCATAAGTATTTAAAATGCAAACCCTCTCATTATAACGGAAACATTCCCACTGTGTTACCTCTTCCAATCTGCATCATTTTTCTTCCCCTACCCCACCATCCTTTCCTTTTTCCAGCTACTCTTCCTGTAAGATTTCTTTTCCCCACCTATCCACAATAACTTTTCCCCCACAAAGACACTGAAGTCAATTATACCTGCAGAAGTTTAGGTAGCTATCAAAAAATTTCAAGGACATGAATATGTGATACATTTTTCCAACAAAATTGGAATCCAACTATATAGAGAGTTTTATAATCTGCTTTTTTCACTCTACACATGAGCATTTTCCCATGCCATTAAACATTTCATTATTATTAAGGGCTAAATAAGGAGAATTCTGGCAAAAGAGCAGATTGAGCTGATATGAATATATACTTTCTGCTTAAAAACATCTAGGAATGCTGAATAAAATATAATGCCTAAACCATCCAACTTTAAGGTATAGCCTAGCTTGAAAGGAAAGTAAATTTCCAGGGGTCATAAGGAAAGAAAGAAATCAGAGCCAGAACTAGGATGACTGTCTCAGGTTTCGTATGAAATGTTCCACATACAGGATAACTCTTCCATCCTAGGCAACCCGGGTAATTGGCCATCTTTGCCCAATGCAGTTAAGTAAGGGGAAGCAGTTATGTGTTTCAGGCCACATTTAGGCTCTAGGGGCTGGGTCTAGCAATTTTAATTCTCTTCCTAATCCCTGATTTGGACTTTAGAGGTCATTTCTTTCTCTTATATAATTTCTTCGGCTAGATCTTCCAGTATTATGTTAAATAGTAGCTGTGATAACAAGCATCACTGCCTTGCTCTTGACCTTAAAGGGAATGCTTCTACATTTTCTCCATTAAATATTTTTATTTTGGCTTACTTTTATAAGGTTAGGGGAGTTCCCTTCCATTTCTAGTGTACTGAGTTCTTTAAATCTGAAATCATCATTGATATCTATCTATTGCTTTCTTCTATAACTTTTCAGAAAATCATGTAATTTTTCTCCTTTGTTCCATTAATGTAATTATACTCCTGCACATTCCAGCAGTGAAACATCCTTGAACTCCTAAAATAAGGTCTACCTAGTACATCGTGAGATTACAGATAGGTAGATAGATAGATAGACAGACTTGGAAGATTTTTATATCTATGTCTGTAAGTTAAATTGGCCTCTATCACTTTTTTCTTGCACTATCTTTGGCTGGTTGTGATATCTACAGCATATTAGTTTCATAAACATGATGAGCAGCTTTTTCTGTTCTTCTACTTTGTAGAACAACATATATAAGATTGGGATTATTTGTTCTGAAATTTCAGTAAAATTCACCTGAAAAATTTGGGGTCTGACCCTAAGAACAAGTAGGGGAAAGTAAAGATTGCAAAAAGAAACCTTTACCCTAACCACTCCACCATACGTAGGCCCTATCTTGTACATTTCCCTTCATATACTGGCCCTGCTCAAAGATCTTTGAAAAACTTTGTTGTTAGACTTTTAGACTTTTCATTGCTGTTTGACACCAAGTTCCATTAACTCCCCTATCAATCTTTTGGCACTGGCGGAGTGGAATGTGGGGGAGGGAGCCATATATAATAACTTGATTTGCCAAATATGACAACTTCTGTTCAATATGACCCAGTATGCTGATTTAAAGGAACTTTGCAAGCAAGAGGAAACATAGGCCTTTAAAAATTTTGTCAATTGCCTTCCTTTGCTCTTACAGCACATTCAGACATTCTTTGCCTTTCCGATGTCATCTCTCTTTCCTGTTTGCTCAAAATTCCTTAGAACTTTGGAAAATGTTTCCCTGCTCTACCCACCACAAAGAACGTTAGGCACCTCTCCTCTCTGTTCCCATAGCAGTGATCTGTTTCTAAGTCTAAGGCACTGTTGACAAATGTCTGCCCTCATTATATTGCAAGCTTCTTAAGGAGGATTGTGGCTATTCATTTTTACCCTCTCCCAGTATTTAACACAGTGTCTAACATACAGTAGGAGGCTGTTAAATTGTGTTGAATGATTAGCGTAATTATAGAGAATGTTATGAACTAATTAGCATCTCATAACCCAACATATACTGTCTTGATTATTTTCAGAGAACTTTCCTCTAGGAGAAGACAGGCAACTATTATTTTTTTCTTATCATTTGGGCCAACATCACTCAAGTAGTGTGTACAAGCCATGAGAAGGATTTAGGAATCCTGACTAGCAAGCAATGGACCTACCCATTAGAGTTCTACCCCTCATACTTCCTCTTACCTGTCAAGTCATAGTTTCAGTGCATTCGTAACACTATTCTCAACTTTTAAATTTCAAAGAGTCATTTCTGCCTATTTATTCTGCCTTCACCTACTGTATCCTGCCAGTAAGTGGGCAGTGACTTTGTGGTTCTGTCCTCATGATGCAAATAGCCAGGCTTGGCTATGCAAGAGACTATAATGCGTGAAATTAAAATAAGCCTCAATTAGACAGCAAACACATACGCAAAATGTAGAGTTCGTGAGAGCAAAAATGTTTGTCCATTTTGCCCACTGCTATATCCCTGGTACATAGAACAGTAACTGACAAAAAATAAGGGCTCTATAAGTATTTCTTGAATGAATGAATGAATGAATGAATGAATGAATTGCTGAGTATAGTGTCCTGATAGTACTATAAACAGTGCATTCTGCTTTATATATGCACTCCTGCAAAATTGAAGCCAATGAAATATTTAAGTAGAGTTTATTATTCACAATACACCTTGATATCCCTTGCTAAGCACTGCATCAATCCTATGAGCTAACCTATTTCTTAAGGCTGGCTTCCTGAGTATGCAACTTATGCAGTCACATAGCATCTTGTTCTTAGAAGGGTCCCATGCTTGGTTTAATGCTCTGCTGTTGCTATCTTGAAATAGGGCCCCATATTTTCATTTTGCACTAGGCCCCACACGTCAAATAGCCAGTCCTGCTAGTCCTGAATACCTTTCCATTTGAGTTTGGCACCCTTGAAGTTATAACTCATCTACAGGTAAATTCTCTTGGCAAGTCCCCTGCCTGAGATGTGGGGAGGGCAGCCGCTAACCTGGAGTGCCCACATATTACAGCTTGGACTGGGGCTCTAAATTCAGGCTGGCAATCCCGTAGTAGTATCAGTTCTCCCAGTCCCCACAAGGGAAATTTGTGTATCATTTAGACCATAAATACAAAAAGCATTCCAAAATGTCATAATGAATAAAATATTCCTTTATTACACTAAAGAGCCACTTATTTTATAGAGCTTCCATTGTCCACGATGCTGATGCTAATAGCCAAGAGAGAGCTTGTCCACATTTTCCAAGTGACTGAACTTTACATGTATCCAGATTCTCTACCGAAGTCTGCTTGTCCTAGGGCTGAAGTGAAAGATCTTTGTTTTTGACCACTTGGTGATCCTTGGTTTAAAGTCCCTGTGTCTGTGGAAGTAAGGAGATTGTCTAGCACCTCTGGCTTAAAGCAGTCACCCTAGTCAAGTTAAATTCAGGCTCTTCATCAGAGAGCTTCTCATTTAGCTAGTATCTTTTCATTTGGAACAGATATGGTCATGGCTTGAGGGAAATGACTCTGTGACCATTAATGCTTGTACATTAGTGACACACTTATTATCTACCCATCTATGACTTGCAGGGCTTAAACATCCATGTCAGACATGATTTGGTACTGCATTAGGCACTGGTGTTGGAGACAGCATTCTGAACAACCTTATTTCCTTCCCACTCTTGTGAGTCCCTTTGGCATTTAATCGTTAATAATAACAACCTTCGATTGCCTCAATTCTCATCTCTGGTCCAGCATTTATTCTACAGCACTAACTGTTCAACAGTCACTCTAAGCTCACACTCTTTGACAACTTAATGATAATCTTTGTCTGTGTACCCTGAAACCTAACTTCTAATCTGTTAAAGAATAGTTGCAGATAATTCTTCTCTATTGCTTTCAAAGTATTACTTCAGACTATGCTTATCTTCTTTATAGATTACAAATGGCTTCACTAAAATTTCAATATTAGGTTTTAAAGCAGGAGTGTCCAATCTTTTGGCTTCCCTGGGCCATACTGGAAGAAGAAGAATTGGGCCACACATAAAATACACTAACACTAAAGATAGCTGATGAGCTTTAAAAAAATTTGCAAAAAAAACTCTTGTAACGTTTTAAGAAAGTTTACAAATTTGTGTTGGGTAGCATTCAAAGCCGTCCTAGGCCACGTGGAGCCCATGGGCTGCAGGTTGGACAAGCTTGTTCTAAAGGAATTGTTTTCTTATGTGTTATTTTATTATTTATTTCTACACAACAAACTTTTTTGTTGCTCTTTTTATTTTGTTTTTGCTGAATACAGCTCTGAAAATTTAGAGCAGCAATATCAGATTCTTGGGAAATAACTTTCAAAGCAAACACTTGTTTACTGAACTCTGGTGATCATTTGGTATACATGATGACTCCTTTCTAAGATTTCACTTTGCCTTGGAGATGCCTGTTCATCATAGCAAAAGCGAAGAACTCCACAAGTCATTTTTGTTTCTAATTCAATTATACACACAGATATTTTATTTGCTGAACATCAGACACTGTCCTAGGCACTTTAGACTATGATGGTTAATTTTGTGTGTCAACTTGACTGGGCCATGGGGTGACCAGATATTTGGTCAAATATTATTCTGGGTGTGTCAGTGAGGGTGTTTTGGGATATGATTAACACTTAAATTGGTAGACTAAGTAAAGCAGATTGTGCTCCCTCACATGAGTGGGCCTCATCCAATCAGTTGAAGGCCTGAGTAGAACAAAAAGGAGTGACCTTCCTTTGAGTAAGAAAGAATTCCCCCTGCCAAAATACCTTCAATCTGAGGCACTGGCTCTTCCTGAGTCTCAAGCCCACCAGCTTTTGAATGGAAACTATACCATTGGCTCTCCTGGTTCTCAGGCCTTTGAACTCAGACTAGAACTAAACCCAGCTCTCTTGGATCTCCAGCTTGCTGACCCACCCTGCAGATCTTGGGACTTGTCCACCTACATAATCATGTGAGCCCATTTCTTATAATACATTTATTTGTGTATATATGATATGTTCATATATATATAATACACATACATACACACCCTAATGATATCTGTACAGCTTTCTCTCCCTTCCTTCCTGAGATTCTCACTCAAATACCATATTCTCAGTGAGACCTACTCTGACCACCTTATGTAAAACTACATACTTCCCTCATACTCCCTAGTACTTTTCCTTGCTTTATTTTTTTCCTCCTTAGCACACGTTATCTAACATACTATGTATTTTACTGATTGATTTTGTTTCTTTTCTGGCTACTTCACTAGAATGTAAACTCTATAAGGGCAGATATTTTTGTATTTTTTTTTTGCTTCTGTCTCCCCAGCACCACAGTACCTAGCTCATATTGTTGAAGAAATGAATAAATGACCGCATTATTTTCATTTGCATCCAAGTGAGTTGCACTGAAAAGTTTGGACTCCTGATTCAAAAGGGTATCTGCAACAGGTCTCCTTCTGTCTGGTGTCTATCAAACATCTCGACAGCTTCTTCAGAAGGTAATCATACTGCTGTCTTGATAAATCTTGCAATGCACATGTTGTGGATCTTACCTTCAGCAAGCATTTTCAATTGTGGGGCTTTGTGCTTTGTTGGCTCAAATGACGCCTCCTGCAATAGAGCACATATGGAGATGTGCACATTTCCCAGGTATGGTGTCTTTATGAACCTCCGTTTGACAGGAACTCTTTTATTCTCATTATATCTGCGAGCTTTGGATCTATCTAAAGTTTTTGTAATAAGAGTTTTTTCTTTTCTGATCACCAAAAACCAAGACTTCTTCCCTCAAAATTGCAATCTATTCATATCATAACTGAATCCTGAGAAACTTGAGTGTCCTCCCCTTTCAGTTCTTCTCATTCTCCAAGCGACTACTAGTCTGGGGCAAGGTGCCCCTGTTATGTGCTGCCACAGAACTTGGTACTCTTCTTATCATAGCCCTGTCATTACTTCTTTACCTGGCTTCCTCTCCAGCTATACTGTGAGTTCCATCAAGACAGGGCCAAGTCTGTCTTGCTCATGACTCTATCTCCAAGCACACAGAGTGCATGGCACATAACAGGAACTCAATAAATGTTTGCCACATGAATGAGTAACAAGCCCAGGTAAACCTGAGTCTCACATATTTCAAAAGAAAAAAGTGAATCATAAGACATAATTTTTAAAAACAGCATAATAAATTCATATATATCACAGAACACAATTATTTAAAAAGAAAAGAAAACACAACAAGGTAACAGTATTTAGCACTAGTGAAATTATGATTTGATTTTTTCCTTTATCCTATATATTCTTCTTTACCAAATTTCCTGTAAGTGTATTTTACTTTTATAGTGGGAAAAATAACATTATAATTTATAAAATAAAAAAACCCTACAAATTATCTTCACCTCTTTTCCTCAAAATAAACAAAGTATCACACACTGCAACATATGATCATTGGGGTTTTTCTCTCTGCTTGCTGACAGGTGAATAACAATATGGAACATCTGTCTTATTTAGTACCAACAGAAGTATATGTTGATACAATAACCCAAGTTGCAAAAATCATGTAACTTTTTAGGATCTGAATGCCACCGGTGTTTTAGGCATGTTTTTAAAGATTCTGTAGGAACTGTTTTTAATAAAAAGAATTCAGATTCTGGTTTGATGCATGAAAACAGAACTCAATTTTATTTCATGTTTGAAAGTAAACATGACAAAAATAAGAATCAATTTTTAACTTTCCAAAATGCTCCATGAGGTTTGCATGGCTGAGACAGTCCCCTCTGCTCTGAATGGTTTCTGTTGTCTTGAGGGGAAAATAATGCTATGGGAGAAAAGTAAAGTAGGGTTAAACAACTTGAAAAGGCTGGTATTCACATATCGCACTTTGTCATAAAAGAAGTCCCTGCAACAAAATTATCAAATTCTATATAGTGAATGTTATGATTAACTTATGTATTTTCAGTTTGCCAGTACATCATCTTCTGTTACTGTGAGGCATACATATAAAACAGATTAGAGCAAATATCATTACAGAGATAATTTCTGAATAACAAAGTTAACTTCCATGTCTCAGTGAATGGTCCACAGAAACCAAGTTTTGTTAGTCTAGTTATAATGTTACATATGTATATATGTGTGTGTACATGTGTACATATGCACACATGTATTGCATTAAACTAATACAAGGTAATATATTTATATGAATAATAATACACAGGCATTATAGTAATACATATTTATGTGTTACCTTAAGTAAATATGTATCCCATATATATATATGATACCTTATATAAAGATTTTCTTTTTTTTCTTCTGAGATAAATCACTTTTCCTATTCATCAAATCAACCTTCTCATTCTGAAGATTGGTGAAATGAAGCCCAAGAAAGTTAAAGGACTTGCTCAAGCAAACACTGTAAATAATGGCAGAACTGGGACTAAAGCCAGAGTCTCCTGACACGGAATTCAATGGCCTGTCATTCCATTCCTTTGCTTCTCTGTAACTTAATACCATAATTTTGGGTACTGCATTGCAATTTTCAAAACATTTTCACATACATTATATTGTTTAAGTTACACAAAAAATCTATGATGGTATCAAGGAACTGAAAGGTTAATTTCACTGCCCATGGAAACACTACTAGTTAATGACCTGGGTCTCCTTACTCCCAGTCCCTGAGATACAGCTTTGTTTCTCACCAACCATTTTATTCTTACTTGTCCCTTCACAGTTATTTTGGGAGGAGGAGACCCAAGTCAAGGCTAGGGATCTATAACCCTGTACAAGTATAACCTGTACAAAGTAGTCCCTAGTGTATGATTCTGGGATCCCTCTCTCAACCTCTTCTAACACTACATCGTGCAGGTTTGAAGAACAGGTAGCTGAGACTAACAGGTAAGATCCAGGATTCAATCTCATCTCTGTCAGACTCCTAAGGCCATTCTCCTTCCCCTGGATATGTGATGTGGTCACATATGAGGACTGTGGCCTTCATTATTTACCAAGGGTGTCTATCAGGGAGCCATAGAGTCAGAGTGGGCAGGATCAACTTCTTTTCTCCCTCTGAAAAGCTGACCTGTGTATACCATATAATGTGGCACTCAAAACAATTTGGCACATTTCTTATCCATTTTCCTACCATCTCAATATCTCTAGTGATAAATATTTGTTCAGAAGCTGGCCCTCCTGTGATCCAAACATTTGTGTGGTTAAAAAAAATGTGTCAGTCAAGCCAAGATGATGGTAGAAATATAAAGCTAACAAGAATCAGAGATTGAGCACTTCAACTTTATATCCTATTGTCAATTACCTTTGGTCTCTTGCTACTCGTCACCATGTTCCTCACGTCCTCTTGCTGCTTTCTGTAACATTTCAGACTTCCTCTTTCGCTTCCTTCTTTGTTTCTTCAAACCCGTTACAACTCTGTTGTCCTGCCTTTGTAAATCATCGGCCGGTTCGCTGTAACATAAAAAGTTCAAGTGAAACCTTATTTCTCATTAGTGATAGAATAACAATGGGAGGGTTATAAGGAAAAAAATATTTGCCCAGATAACTATACTTTCCCACCTGATATTTTTAACTCACCAGATTTAATAAATCCGATAGAAATTATTCCACTTGGCTTGCTCATATTGATCATCATAACCATCATTATTATTCTCTATACAGTCATTTTGATTATGTGACCATCTGTAACAGAAATGCTCTCCCACTTCCCTGTGCTGACATCAATGTTACCCACTCTTTAATGGTAAGTTTAGATATTATCTTGTCTAGGAAGCCAGCTCTTCCACTCCTAGTTTAGAGGGATTCCTTCCTCCTATGAACTTCAAATCTACACAGTAATGGCTCACATTGTATTAGCATTTACAATTTTCAAAGCACCTTCACTTACTCCTGTTGTCATTGGGTATACAATCTCGTACCTCCTTGTATTTGTGTGGACAGTTGGTAAAGGGGCACTTGAGAGGCTACCACATGCCAAGAACTTCACTAAGTGCTTTATATACTTTCTCATTAAATCCTCATAACGACCCTAGAAGGTGGATAGTGTGTTTCCTATTTTGCAAATGATTAATCTGGGGCTTAAAGAGGTAAAATAATTCACCCAAGGTCACAGATAACTAGTAATGGAGATGCTAGAATTTAAACGTAGGTCTGTTTGACTCTAAAGTACAAGCTTTTTCCATTAGACCACTTTGCAGTGTTCGTGAATAATGGCTAGCAGCAGGTATGATAAACTTCCTATGTGCATAATAAGCACTTCACGTGCATGATCTCATTTAATCTTCATTAACGACTTGATGAGGCAGGTACTATTTCTATCATTCCCATTTTTCATATGGGGAAACTGAGGCACCAAGACGGAAAGTAACTTGCCGAGGTCACCAAACTACTCAGTAGTAGAACCAGGATTCAAATCCAGACCTACCTAAATCTAAAGTACAATCTCTCTCCTACTACACTAACCTGTCTCATTCTCTCCTCAAAGCTTGTAAATTCCTTCAGACTGGAACCTTACCTTATCACTTTTTATATCCCACAGAGGAAATGGAAATGTTTGTTGATTTTTATGCTTATAGGGCTTTTACTTTCTAAAGAACTAAACATAAGCCAAAAAAAATAGTAATGTTCATGGCAGAGGTAAAGAGAAAAATCCAAAGACAGAAAAAAAGAAAGATTTGCACACAATATTATGAAGAGGTAATGACAGATAAATAATCCTATCCTCAGCTCAAGCTAGGTAGCATGCAGAAGAAGATACCAGGACCTTGTAAGTGCTACTTAGCTGTACAGAAAAACAAGGTTCTGAGCATGTGGGTCCCAGAGAAAGATAAGTCTGCCTTTGAAATTATGACTTTGAAGATAAATAATACTAACTTTTCTCCCCTAAAACTGTATTACTGGGTTGACACTGAGCTCCACTAGGTAAGACAAATGTGGGGCAAAGAAACAAATTCTTTCCCAATTAATCAAAAAAATGTCTCTGGGCATAAATGAAATGGTGAATGAAGGCAAAAAATATATTTATATGATTTATCTATGGCCTATTTATGTTGCCATGTTGTTACCTACAGTCTAAAAAAAATAATAACTGAAACAACTACACAGTTCTCAGTACCTTGGGGCCAGATGTGCTTGAGAATGCAGATTCTTTTGGATTTAGAAAGGTAATATGACACGATATATTGAATACTACATGACATTCCCATGGGGTCTGGGGTAGCATCTCATAATCAAACACAGTAACATTTCTGCAACAAATATATGAATATTCACTCTAAGAATTAAATAATGACTAGAAGGAATCTCAGTCCAGGTTTGTCGCAAAATGAATACAACAAAATTTTTAGGTTTGCAGAAATTTTTGAATTTCAGGATTTTAGAGAAGAAATTGAGAACTTATGCTTTTTTCTAATGCTGTGACGTCAATATAGCCTACTTTATATAATTAAAATGACTATGTTTTCTTTATCTACAGATTTTCTTTTAAATTTGGTCATGTACATTTCACCTTAATTAACAACAAAAAAGCAACACGGCCTTATTATTTCAAAACTGACCTAGGTTTCAGAGGACTTGGTTTTTGTTCAGCCTCATCACTAACTGGCTATATGACTAACATTTACTACTGAGATCCAAGGTTAGCTATTCTACCTAATAGGCAATGAAAATGCCCAAGGGAGAGAGTAGGAGTGAAATGATTTTTCAGTGTCCTAGAGGTGGTTTTCTTCTTTTCATATAAAGTGTCATATATCATGACCAGCATACGCACACGGAAAAGGTCAATTTCTTGCACACTCATTCACTCACTGATATATTTGCTCATTTATTAAATAAACATTATTCTAAGTACTAGAGACATAAACATGACTAAGATATGGTACCTGTCCTTGAGGAGCTTAAAATTTAGAAGGGAAAGTAGATATACAGACTAACAATATTATGTTGAGATGAGTTCAAGTAGAGGTAATCAGAGGTTGGTAGAAGGCAGACAAGAAGAAGCCTGACCCAATGTGTGCAGGAGGTTTGGAGTAAGCTTCCTAGAAGAGGTGACCTCTAAGATGAGGCCTGCAGCCTGAGTGGAGAGAGCCAGATAAAGAAAAGTGGAGGTGGGGAGATGCATAAGAGCATTTCAGTCAGCAGATACACTTTATGAGACTCAGAGTGACAAGGTGGCATGTTGTTTGTAAACATCTAGTAGAGTGGCATGGCTGGAAATGTTAAGTGAGCTCACTGGAAATTCCTAATGACACAGATCCACACAGTTGTGGGACATTTTTTTTCTTCTAAAAATTCCCAGGAGCCTAGATCTAAGAGCAGAGAAGTGGTATGGATTCAGTTTCCATGAAACAAGGGGACTGGAAACAAGAATGGATTAAAGTACTAGACAATGGGATCCAGGCTGGATAAAAAAAAAAAAAAAGCAGATGATGTTAGGAAGATGGCAGACTGGGAGAAAAGAGAGAGTTAAAGACACTGGAGGCCTCAATGTGTTAAAGAACAGGTTCAGCAAAAATGAAGCGGAGAAAAAGCTGGAGGACAAGGAACCTATGGTGAAAGAGTAAGATTTTGAACTTTAAGATTTCAGAGATTCAGAGGTTCAGTTTTGAGTGAATAACAATGTTCAAGATGTGGGCATGAAACTGGGTGGCCAAGGATGAGTAAAGGGGCAATTCCTCCGGATTGAGTACATCAGGGAACTCTGAGGCTAGGGGCTCAAAGAAACAAAAACATACATCATTGAAGAAATTTGTTGGGTGTTTTGGAACCTCAAGAGTTTAACATAACTGATCAGAAAGAAAGAAATGGCCTGAGGACAGAGCAAGATGGCAGAACAGAATGCTCTAACAATTACCCCCATCCTACCCCGCCATAGGAACACCAAATTTAACAACTATCTACACAGGAAAAAAAAAAAAAAAGCCCCTTCATAAGAACCAAAAATCAGGGGAGCACTCAGAGTACTTGCTTTTAACTTCATACAGCTGAAAGAAGTACTGAAGAGAGTAGGAAAGACAGTCTTGAATTGCCAATGCCGCCTCTCCCCTATCCCCCAGCAGTGGCTGCATGGCACAGAAAGAGAATCTGTGCACTTGGGAGAGAAAGAGTGCAGCAATTGTGAGACATTACATTGAACTCAGAGCTGCCCTGTCAAAGCAGAAAGCAAAACCAGGCTGAACCCAGCTGATGCCCACTCACAGAGGGACTATTTAAACCAGACCTAGCCAGAGAGGAACCACCCATCCCAGTAGTCAGGATTGAATCTGGCAAGCCTTGCCACTGTGGGCCAAAAGTTCACTGGGGCCCTCAATAACCTTGAAAGGCAGTCTAGGCCACAAGGACTGCAATTCTTAGGTTAGTCCTAGTGCTGAACTGGGTTAAGAGTCAGTGGATTTAGGAAGCACACAACCTACTGACACACTAGCCAGGGTGGCTAAGGGAATGTTGGTGCCACCCCTCCCCTAACTCCAGGCTGCAAAACTCATAGCTCCAAAAGAGACTCCTTCCATCTGTTTCAGAAGAGGAGAGGGAAGAGTAAAGCAGACTTTGTCTTACATCTTGGATATCAGCTCAGCCACAGTAGGAAAGGGCACCAGTCAGAGTCAAGAGGTCCCCTTTTCAGGCCCTAGCTCACAGATGACAGTTCTAGATACACCCTGAACCAGGAGACAATCTACTGCCTTAAAGGGAAGGATCCAGTCCTAGCAGGACCTGCTGACTGAAAATCCCTTGGGCCCTGAATAACAAGCAGTGATACCTAGGTTATGCTGTGAGCCTTGGGTGAGACTTTGAGACTTGCTGAATTCAGGTGTGACTCAGCACATCCTCAGCTGTGGTGGCTACAGGGAGAGACTCCTGCTTGAGAAAAGCAGTGGGAAAAGTAAAGGGAATTTTGTCTCGAACCTTAAATACCAGCTTAGTCACAGGGGAGTAGAGCACCAAGTGGGCTTTTAGTGTACCCAATCCCGGGCCTTGGCTGTTGGATGGCATTTCTGGACCTGCCCTGGGCCAGAGGGGAGCCCACTGCCCTGAAGGGTGGTGAGTCCCAGGCCAGGTAACATTCACCACAAGCTGATAGAAGAGCCCTTGGGCTTTAAGAGAACATTGGCAGTACTCCCTGTGGGCCTGCAGTGTTGATTGCCACAAGGTAGGGCTCTTCTGCCTGTAGAAAGGGGAAGAAACAGTGGGAAGAACTGCATCTTGTGGTGAGTGCCAGATCACCTGCAGTACAACAGAACACTGGGTATATTTCTAAGGTTTTGACTCTAGTTCTTGGCTCCTGGAAAGTACCCCTGGACATGCCTGGGGCCTGCAAGAACTCACCACCCTGAAGGGAAGGATACAAGGCTGGCTGGCTTTGCCACCTGCTGTTTGTAGAGTCCCAGTGCCTTGAGCAAACATAAGCAGTGGCCAGGTAGTGATTACAGTGGGCCTTGGACAAGCCCTAGTGCTGTGCTGGCTTAAGGTCTGCCCTAGTGCAGTCCCAGTGGTGGTGGCCTCAGTGGTGTTTGGGTCACCTCACCCCAAAGCTCCAGGCAGCTCAGTCCAGAGAGAGAGACTCCATTTGATTGGGGAAAAGGAAAGGAAGAGAACAAGAGCCTCTGATGGTAATCCAGAGAATTATTCTGGTTTTTTTCCCAAGATCATTAAGGAAGTACCTCTACAAGTCTGCAAGAGTCACAGTGTCACTGGATTTGGTATGCCTCCTAATGTGAATACAGCTTAGATCACAACACTCAAGTCCCTTAGAACACCTGGAAAGCTGTCCGAAGAAAGACAGGTACAAACAAGCCCAGATAGTGAACAGTACAATGAATACCTAACTCTTCAATGCCCAGACACAGACAAATGTTCACAAGCATCAACACCATCCAGGAAAATGTGAAATCACCAAATGAACTAAATAAGGCACCAGAAACTAATCCTGGAGAAACAAAGACATATTATCTTTCAAACAAAGAATTCAAAATAGCTGTTTTGAGGAAACACAAAGAAATTCAATAGAACTCAGACAAGGAATGCATAATTATATCAGACAAACTGAAAAAAGAGGTTGAAATAATTAAAAATAATCAGGCAGAAATTCTGGAGTTAAATATGCAACTGACATACTGAAGAATGCATCAGAGTTTTTTAATAGTAGATTGATCAAGTAGAATAAACAATTAGTGACCTTGAAGATAGGCTATTTTAAAATACATTTAATACCATTTAAAATGGTCAGAGGAGACAAAAGAAAAAAGAAAACAATGAAACATGCCTACAACATCTAGAAAATAGTCTCAAAAGGTGTCTGTTCATGTCCTTCACCCACTTTTTGATGGGGTTGTTTGTTTTTTTCTTGTAAATTTGTTTGAGTTCATTGTAGATTCTGGATATTAGCCCTTTGTCAGACGAGTAGGTTGCGAAAATTTTCTCCCATTTTGTAGGTTGCCTGTTCACACTGATGGTAGTTTCTTTTGCTGTGCAGAAGCTCTTTAGTTTAATTAGATCCCATTTGTCAATTTTGTCTTTTGTTGTCATTGCTTTTGGTGTTTTAGACATGAAGTCCTTGCCCATGCCTATGTCCTGAATGGTAATGCCTAGGTTTTCTTCTAGGGTTTTTATGGTTTTAGGTCTAACGTTTAAGTCTTTAATCCATCTTGAATTAATTTTTGTATAAGGTGTAAGGAAGGGATCCAGTTTCAGCTTTCTACATATGGCTAGCCAGTTTTCCCAGCACCATTTATCAAATAGGGAATGCTTTCCCCATTGCTTGTTTTTCTCAGGTTTGTCAAAGATCAGATAGTTATAGATATGCAGTGTTACTTCTGAGGGCTCTGTTCTGTTCCATTGATCTATGTCTCTGTTTTGATACCAGTACCATGCTGTTTTGGTTACTGTAGCCTTGTAGTATAGTTTGAAGTCAGGTAGTGTGATGCCTCCAGCTTTGTTCTTTTGGCTTAGGATTGACTTGGCATGAACAGACACTTCTCAAAAGAAGACATTTATGCAGCCAAAAAAACACATGAAAAAATGCTCACCATCACTGGCCATCAGAGAAATGCAAATCAAAACCACAATGAGATACCCTCTCACGCCAGTTAGAATGGCAATCATTAAAAAGTCAGGAAACAACAGGTGCTGGAGAGGATGTGGAGAAATAGGAACACTTTCACACTGTTGGTGGGACTGTAAACTAGTTCAACCCTTGTGCAAGTCAGTGTGGCGATTCCTCAGGGATCTAGAACTAGAAATACCATTTGACCCAGCCATCCCATTACTGGGTATATACCCAAAGGACTATAAATCATGCTGCTATAAAGACACATGCACACGTATGTTTATTGCGGCACTATTCACAATAGCAAAGACTTGGAACCAACCCAAATGTCCAACAATGATAGACTGGATTAAGAAAATGTGGCACATGTACACCATGGAATACTATGCAGCCATAAAAAATGATGAGTTCACGTCCTTTGTAGGGACATGGATGAAATTGGAAATCATCATTCTCAGTAAACTATCGCAAGAACAAAAAACCAAACACCGCATATTCTCACTCATAGGTGGGAATTGAACAATGAGATCACATGGACACAGGAAGGGGAATATCACACTCTGGGGACTGTGGTGGGGTCGGGGGAGGGGGGAGGGATAGCATTGGGAGATATACCTAATGTGGGTGCAGCGCACCAGCATGGCACATGTATACATATGTAACTAACCTGCACATTGTGCACATGTACCCTAAAACTTAAAGTATAATAATAATAAAATTTAAAAAATTAAAAAAAAGAAAAAAAAAGAAAATAGTCTCAAAAGGACAAATCTAAGAGTTAGTGGCCTTAAAAAGGAGGTAGAGAAGGTGATGGGGTAAAAGTTTGTTCAAAGCAATAATAACAGAGGATGTCCCAAACCTAGACAAAGATATCAATATACAAGTACAAGAAGGTTATAGAATACCAGGCAGATTTAACCAAAAGAAGATGACCTCAAGGCATTTAATAATCAAACTCCCAAAGGTCAAGGATGAACAACAGATCCTAAAAGCACTAAGAGAAAAGAAACAAATAACATACAATGGAGCCCCAGTAAGTCTGGCAGCAGAGTTACCAGCAGAAACCTTATGGCCAGGAGAGAGTAGCATGATATATATAAGGTGCTGAAGGAAAAATACGACATACTACTCTTTCACCCTAGAGCAGTATGTCCAACGAAAATATCCTTCAGACATGAAGAAAAATAAAGACTTTCCCAGACAAACAAAAGCTGGGGGATTTCATCAATACCAGATCTGTCCTACACAAAATGCTACATTGAATACTTTAATGAGAAAGAAAAGGGTGTTAATGACCAATAATAAATCATCTGAAGGTACAAAACTCACTGGCAATAATAAGTATGCAGAAAACCACAAAATATTATAACAAAGTAACTTTGTTGTATAAACTACTCTTAAGTGGAAAGACTAAAGACGAACCAATCAAAAATATTAACTGCAACAACTCTTCAAAACATCGACTACTATAAGATACAAGCAGAAACAATAAAAAGTTTAAAAATTGGGGGATGAAACTATGAGGTAGAGTTTTTATTAGTTGCCTTTTTGTTGACTGTTTATGCAAACAATGTTATGTTGTTATCAGCTTAAAATAATAGGTTATTAGATAGTATTTGCAAGCCTCATGGTAACCTCTAATCAAAAAACATGCAATGGATTCACAGAAAATAAAAAGCAAGAAACTAAATCATATCACCAGAGAAAGTCACCTTCACTAGAGGAAGACAGGAAGGAAGGAAAGTAGAAGGAGAAGACCACAAGGCCACCAGAAAACAAATAACAAAATGGCAGAAGTAAGTCATTACTTATCAATAATAACACTGAATATAAAAGGACTACACTCTCCAATCAAAAGACACAGAGTGGCTGAATGGATATAAAAATGAGACCCAATCATCAGTTGCCTACAAGAAACACACTTCACCTATAAAGACACATATAGCTTGAAAATAAAGGAATGAAAAAAAGACATTCCATACCAATGGAAACCAAGACAGAGCAGGAGTAGCTATACTTACATCAGAAAAAAATATATTTCAAAACAAAACTATATGAAGAAACACACTTCACCTATAAAGACACATATAGACTGAAAATAAAGGAATGAAAAAAGACATTCCATACCAATGGAAACCAAGAAAGGGAAGGAGTAGCTATACTTACATCAGAAAAAAATCTATTTCAAAACAAAACTATATGAAGAGACAAAGACAGTCACCACATAATGATAGAGGCCAATTCAGCAATGGAATATAGCAATAGTAAATATATGTGCACCCAACACTGGAACACCCAGATACATAAAGCAAATAGTATTAGAGCTAAAGATAGAGATAGACCCCTGTACAATAATAGCTAGTGACTTCAATACCCTACTGTCAGCACTGGACAGATATTCCAGACAGAAAATGAACAAAGTAACATCAGACTTAATCTGCACTGTACACCAAATAGACCTAATAGATATTTAGAGAAAACCCTACAGAATACACTTTCTTTCCCCAGCACATGAATTATCCTCAAGGATAGACTGTGTGTTAGGTCACAAAGCAAGCCCTAAAACATTGAAAAAAATTAAAACGATAACAAGCATCTTCTCTCACCAAAATGGAATAAAACTAGAAATCAATAACAAAAGGAAATTTGGAAACTATACAAACACATGGAAATTAAACAATATGTTCCTGAATAGCCAATGAATCAATGAAGAGATTAAGAAGGAAATTAAAACCCTTCTTGAAACAACTGATAATGGAAACATGATATACCAAAACCTGGGATACAACATAAGCAGTACTCAGAGGGAAGATTATAGCTGTAAGTACCTATATCAAAAAGAGGAAAAACTTCACATAAACAGCCTAATGATACATCTTAAATAACCAGAAAAGCAAAATCAAACCAAACCCACAATTAGGGAATAAAAATAATAAAGATGAGAGCAGAAATAAATAAATTTGAAATGAAGAAAACAATACAGAAGATTAATGAAACAAAAAGTTGTTTTTTTAAGAAAGATAAATAAAATTCACAAACCTTTAGCCAGACTAAGCAAACAAGAGAGAATACCCAAATAAGTAAAATCAGAGATGAAAAAGAAGACATTATAACTGATACCATAGAAATTCAAAGGTTCAATAGTGGCTACTCTGAGCAACTATATGCCAATAAATTGTAAAATCTAGAAGAAATGGAAAAATGTCTAGACACATACAACCTAACTAAATTGAACCAGGAAGAAATCCAAAACCCGAATAGACCAATAACAAGTAACGAGAGCAAGGCTATAATAAAACTCTCCCAGGAAAAGAAAAGCCCAGGACCCACGGGCTGGGCATGTTGGCTTCTGTCTGTAATCCCAGCACTTCAGGAGGCCAAGGCAGGTGGATTCCTTGAGCTCAGGAGTTTGAGACCAGCCTGGGCAACATGGTGAAGCTCTGTTTCTACCAAATATACAAAAATTAGTTGGGTGTGGTGGCACACGCCTGTGGTCCTGGGTACTCGGGAGGCTGAGGTGGGAGGATTGCCGGAGCCCGGGAAGTCGAGGCTGCAGTAAGCCGTGATTGTGCCACTGCACTCCAACCTGGGTGACAGAGCGAGAACTTGTCTTAAAAAAAAAAATTCCCAAGTTTACTTCCGTAGAAGCCATCTACATGCTAACTTTTTATCTGTACCTCTTTTACGGACAATGATTTTCTACTTTGGATACTTGTATATGTCCCTTATTACACAGACTATGTGTGTTCCTTGAGAGCACAGAGCATAATCTGATTTGCTTCTTTGTCCTTCACAGCACCTAACACAAGGCCTGGAACACAGATATTCTTGAAAGCATTAGAAGTTCTTGAATGATATAATGAAATGAAATAGAGATATTTCAGGAAGATGAGTCTGGCAAGACATTGCAGGATGGATTAGAGGGAGAGTAGATTAGGAGTCCAGGTATATGTCCAAACTGGTTTGGCAGGTATCCTTAATTCCTCTTTACCTAAGGCCAATGCTATACATTCCTATTTAAGTACCAGGAAACCTCTCTGGAACCCACCTCCTAGCCATCCTCCAAGCCCCACTTGCGGCCCCATCTCAGATGGTGTCTCTCCTATAAGAATCTCTTGGATTAGATATATCATTATGACCTCTCAGCTCTGAAACCTGCCTTCGCTCTTTAGATGCTACCCTTAGTTCCCTTTTGCTCCTCTCCTGAAGCCACTTGCCTAGAATGGGAAAAGGCACTCAAGGCTGGTACTAAATTACAATAAAATGGGAGAAGGGGCAAATTCCAGACTCATTCCAAAGAAGAACAAAACAAAACAGAACACAATGACAAGGAGAGTAAGTGAAAAGATTATATATTGAGGATAAATGAGAAGAAATAGTCACCAAAGACTCTAAGGTTCTAGCCTGGGAAACTAAAGAAATCACTGACAGGAATGGAGAAGGGTCAAGGGGAGATAATTTAGGAGAAAAAGAAAATGAGTTCACTTTTTCACATATTGCATTTGAGGTGCTGATAAAACATCTAATTCACGAGAGTGACTGGAAATATGGAACAGGTAGAGGTGAAGATTTTAGGATTTGGAATTAAGAGTAATTTACCCAGAGACTCTTGGAATACTATGGTCAGAAAATACCATAGAAATTATCTAACTCAAGTCTCTACTATAATTTTGTTAGGAAATCAATACTCAAAGAATTTAAACACATCCATGAAACGTGGTGAAAGCAGAATGAGAACGCAGATCTTTTAGAATGTTCTTCCTACTATATATTTCTAACATTTTCTGATAAATGGGAGTAAGGCTTTGGGAAACAACCACATTTGGGTGAACAAAGAAAAGCAGACTGAGATGGATCAAAATTGTAAGAGGAACAATGAAATCCAAGGGGGGAAAATTTCAAGAAGGGAGCAGTCAACAGTGTACTCTGTGACAAAAAGATCAAATTAAATGGGAATTGAGAAAAGGACACTTCATTTTGCAATGAAGTTATTAGTTACTTGGCAACAGAATGTTCTTTTTAATAGTACCTACTATGCCAGAGTTCTCTAAAATGCTGTCCTTGGAGTCCTTGCAATGAGAACACCTCAGACATATGATCCGCATAATGAGGTTCTCTTATTATTTCAGTAATTAAATTACCATGAACAGCGTCCAAGAAGTACCAGCTTTATACGAATTTCAAACCTATAGTGACTCATGCTAGAACAGAGTTCCAGTTTGCTCACATTCTCATCTGACATATTTTATCAAAGTTCTTACAGCCTAGTCATACTTTTCAAAATTTATAGATTTTATTTCCTTCCTCTGAATCCAGATGTATATAATCCTAGGAACTTCAAACTTTCCAGTAGTTCGCTAATTACTGCATAAAGCTTTTCAAAATAACATTACTAATTATATTGTACAGTATAATGAGATATGCAAACATGGGAAATTGAAAATGTAAATGTCTATTTTTTAAATTCAAAGGGTGATGATTTTTAGGCAGTTTTTGACACATTTATTCCCAGTTCTTTACCTCCCATTGTAAGAAAATAAGTGGCACTAAGACTAGCGGCATAATGAAAACCAGATTATAATACAGGGAATCATGCAGCAGGATTGGTCTAAATGTAGAAATTTTCAGTAACAGCCATCTGGCAAGTAGCAACATTGAAAGTGTATGGGGGATGTGCTTTTTACATCATCTGTGTATCAGATGATCTACAATCTTCAAAAAAAAATAGACATTTTATTAGTTGAAAGAAAACACAGTTTTGTCATTTTCAGACTGAGTTCTGAATTTTGTCTTAATTCAAAGTTACAAATTCAATCTGATAGGAAGAAAAAGAACATGAAAATGCACTTCATCTGAATTTAACAGGCATGGTATTATGTTTAAATTTTCCACCTTACCAAAGCTACAGACACACTCAAGTATCATATCACTATATAATCCACAGATGTTTAAATGGCATATACACACAGATTTAAACTTTATCTAAAAACAGATAAAGATTAGAAACTGAATTAGAAACTGCACTTGAGACTACTGTCGCTGGCTACAGTAATAGCTGTTAATAAGAACAATTCAGCCACCTCCCTTTTTCTCTTCCCCTTAGAATTCCTCTCCCCTGCTTCCTTTTGTCGCTATCCACTTGATCTTTTCCTTCCTTCTCCTCTAAGCAAAGGCTTAAGCCTACTAGTGACACTTATACCTAATGAAGCTTCTGATCCCTATTGAGGATAAAAATAGATCTTACATAACCTTAAGGACACAATAAATTTCAAAAACACATCTTATATGTTAGTTTAATATGGCTATTAGTGAATTCTTAGAAAGTTTTTCACTAATGCTCTCTGCTTCCTTTTGTATGTGCAACCAGTTCAAACCGGCTTGAGTCCTCTGTGTACCAGGTTCATATCACACTAGAACTCAAGTCAAGTAGAAGTAAACTAGAGATTCAGTTATAGATTTTTTCAGTGGCAAAATTAAGCTGTATCTGCTAGGAAATGAAATAAATTAAGGTGTCTATAGTGAGAAGACCACCATCTGAATGTAATTAATTCTGTGAAAAGGACCCCTCTCTATCTACTCCAAATCTGTCCCCCTTCAAAATCGACCTGAAACGGCACCTCTACCATGAAGCCTGACGTGCCCTCTCCTACTTAACCTGATCTCCACTGCTTCAAAACTTTTGTAAGTTATTGCTACCATCCATTTTAGTCCTTAATTATTTTCGTCTTATATTGTAATTTAAATGTGTCATACTTGGGATTTGTTTTAAGGTGGATTTAAGCTCCTTAAAAGTAGGGCCTATATCTTAAAAATTTCTGTATCCTCCGTTATACCCGGCACAGGCAAACATTCAATGAATATGGTCAATAGTGGAAAAAATGACTTAGGCGCCAAAAACTGAAGTACATATGGCTCTGGTGCATAATTACCCTTTTCACCTACACTGCTTTTAGTTCTCCCACCAACTCAAATTGCTTCACATTTTTTTTTTGTTTTTGTTTTTGTTTTTTTTGAGATGGAGTCTCACTCTGTCGCCCAGGCTAGAGTGCAGTGACGCGATCTCGGCTCACTGTAACTGCCGCCTCCCGGGTTCAAGCGATTCTCCTGCCTCAGCCTCCTGAGTAGCTGGGATTACAGGCGCATGTCACCATGCCCGGCTAATTTTTGTATTGTTAGTAGAGACAGGGTTTCACCATGTTGTTCAGGCTGGTCTCGAACTCCTGACCTCGTGATCTGCCCGCCTTGGCCTCCCAAAGTGCTTCTCATTTTTTAAGCTCTCCAACTCTTGTCAGTTGCTGGCTCCTTAGGTGATCCTTAAAAAAGGCACTGTCCAAATTGCAGAGGTTGGGGAATACCAAAACATTGTTTGTTTTGGCTTGCAACCGAAGGCCAAGAGGAGAGCTATGACAGCTCTTTCTTAAAGGAATTCTCAGTTATTTAATGTTTAAGACAGGATTTAGCAGGAGGAGGAGCTTAAGGGTATCTTCCAATGATGAAAGAGCAAAAAAAGGTCTTCCAAAAGAGGCCCAAATCACATTACTGCAGATAGTCATAATAGCTTTTGGTACCTCTGATTTGGACAAACAATTGTGTTTGGCTTCTTTCTTTTCCTTTTTAAGCCACCACATATTGATTTTACTGCTGTGTCTATTTCTCTTTTATGGGTTATTTATTTTACCTACCCTAATATTTTATCTATCTCTTTATTCTTTGAAATGGAGAACAGAAAGTGAGTTAAGGAAATCGTTCTAAGGAGATATCTTGCCCTGCAAAAGCTGACTATGGCCTGCACTTGGCTCCTTGTTTGATATCAGGGATGGGATTTCCCCGTTCTTACACAATTATTCTCCTTGCCTCTAAAATCAGCCTACCACAATAGGCTGAAAGTGCCCATCCACTCTCAATCATTGTTCCTGGAAATTCAGCTAAGCAGCAAGATGAATCTGCTACCTGCTCCAAGGGTCATGATAGTCAGCTCAAGATGACCGAAGGAGCATACTGCTCTTGCACAAAATAGTAAAATAAATAAATAAAACATAGTAAACCAAAATGTATAGTATCCAATATATACACTTATTCACATTGTTTCTCAAGCAGTCTGTACTATGTAGAAAGAAGGAAATATATTAGGATCAGAGAACAATCCTTTGGATTTCATTTTAGAGAAAAAAAAATCCAGGGGACCTGAACACCCCCATAAAATTCCTTTGCAGAGGTATAACACAGGGACCATAATGAAGTTATCATACCAAACTTATAATCCTAGAAACTCTCTAAATTTCATGGTATATTCCTAGCCACCAATTTCTAGCAAATGTTACTTTATTGTTATTCATGGTTTATTTTTTTAATACAAAATCAACCTTTGAAGAGAAGAAGGAAGGGCCAAAAATTCCACTCCTACTGCCAATCACTTCGATGATCTTCATCCAAAGTAAGGCAGTGTATATAGTCTAACTCTTCTTGCGAAATCTAAACCATATTCTGGTAACTCAACTACTACTTCCACATTAACTTCAATAAAAACATAAAACATGCTTAACCTTCAACAGGCACCTTGTCTTTATCAGAGAATTTAAGGAGGTACTTATTCTCAGGGTAGTGACAATGCTGACCTTGCACGCGCACAAACCTGAGAGTGAGTGCTTCCCTTAACTTTGTGCTCTAAGTGCTTCACTCACCTCACTCTAGTCCTGACTGTGCTCTGTACCTCTATACCCACTCTGTCCCCATAGGTGGGGAGCTATAAAAAAAAAAAAAAAGCTTGGAAGCATCATGCTAGTAGTCCATTGGCATTTTGTATAAGATGCTAAGAAGAAATTTGTTTTCCAATTGGCTTGAAGACAGATCAAGGCTTTATGACCCAATAGTAGATGATCATTAAAGACCAATGGCAGATGACTCAATGGAAACTAACACTTCCAGGAACTGTTCTGATTTGCAGTTAATAGCCACCCCCACTGCACACACACCAAGCTTGCTAATTTATTTTTCCTTCTAATTGTGGGTTTGTTTCATAAGGGAATGTACAGATACTATGCAAGAAGAAAATCTATGGAAAAATAAAATAACACGCATTTTATTTTATTTTTGAGACGTATTTTCACTCTTGTTGCTGAGACTGGAGTGCAGTGGTGGGATCTTGGCTCACTGCAACCTCTGCCTCCCAGGTTCAAGCAATTCTCTTGCCTAAGCCTCCCAAGTAGCTGGGATTACAGGCGTGCACCACCATGCCCGGCTAATTTTGTATTTTTTTTTAATAGAAACGGGGTTTCGCCATGTTGGTCAGACTGGTCTCGAACTCCTGACCTCAAGTGATCCACCCGCCTCGGCCTCCCAAAGTGCTGGGATTACAGGCGTGAGCCACCGTGCCTGGCCGATAACATGCATTTTAAAAACATATTATGGCAACTCTAGTTTTAGGTCTTTCCCAAGCTACCATATTTTCAACATAAAGAACCCAAACATAATCCCTGTATTTCTGAAGTGTATTAATAAATATGTCTATACACAAATACTCATGTATACTTAGCAACGAGCAAATAAAAGTTTATGTTCACCTACCTCCTCCAGAAAAGAGAGCGGCAATAAATGGGCAGACATACCAGGATAAGGCTGATCGCACCAAGCCCAAACATTTGCATCATCTGTTTAGGCACTGTTGGTTTAATTATATCCTGTTACTTTCATGACTTAAGCAAGAGAAGTAAATCCAAGTTCTTTCATAAAGTCTTTATAAAGAAACTATCAGTTAATAAAGTGAAATGAGGAGGTATTCTTATGTGACAGGTAAATATCCTTGCTACTTTATAAGGAACAGGAGTTCATGAAATGTTCTTGAAATACAACTGAAGGCTACACTTTCAATATGTACCCCTTAATGAAGCCTTAACAAAATGATCCTATTTTTTGTACCATCATTGATTACTATGATGCATACGATATTTCTTCCTCTGGCCCTAAATTGGCTTTTTCTCTTGGCCATATGTTGTATATCCTAGAGCACTTGGGGAGCACATTAATCTATGAACCGTTAACTTGGTAAATAAATAGCTTCTTAATCTATGGTCACACCATCCTGAATGTGCCCCATCTCATCTGATCTTGTGAGCTAAGCAAGGTCTAGCCTGGTTAGTGCTTGGATGGGAGACTGGGAATAACCAGATGCTGCAGGTTTACTTCCAAATTACAAAATATTAAATTAAACAAGGAATCAAGAATGTGCAGGTGAAATAAGCATATTTTAGTCTTATATTCATCGGAAAATGCATTCTAATGTGATTGGGGAATTGTAAGTCACAGTTAAATTTTTTCCTCTGCAAGAACCAAATGTTGCTTCATACATAATATAAAGACCAAACTGATAAATGAATTACAAATAACATGTGACAGTGTTAAAATTGTAATATTATATTCACGATCAGGTTTTAGTTTCCAGTATTAATACTACATATTCAACAAAAAGCCGTAAATTGAATAGGGACTATATTAACTTAAGATATTATTTTGCATGCATCCTTTTTGTAGTATTAGTGTTTCATCATATCAAATCCATGCATCATGAGAGCAACTGGAAATACATCCCCAATATCCAAATGAAGGTAGCAAAAACAGATGGTGTAGTTCTCAAAACTTTGTAAAGAAAAAAATATTCAGAAGAACCTAATTCAAAAACTATAGAACAAGACTCGGTGTGGTGGCTCACACCTATAAATTCCAGCACTTTGGGAGGCCGAGGCAGAAGAACTGCTGGAACCCAAGAGTTGGAGACCAGCCTGGGAAGCCTAGGGAGACCTTGTCTCTACAAAAAAACTAAAAATTAGTCGGGCTTGCTGGTGCACGTCTGTAGTCCCAACTACTCAGGAAGCTGAGGCGGGTGGATCACTTGAGCCCCGGATGTCGAGGCTGCAGTCAGCTGTGATCACGTCACCACTGTACTCCAGCCTGGGTAACAGAGTGAGATGCTATCTCAAAAAATACCCAATAAAGAAAAACTAATAAGCAGACCTTAACAAGAAACATTCAAGTCTACTGTTACATACTGAGATGAAGACAAGACAAATGGGAAGAATTCTACCTAGGAGGAAAAGCTGGGCAAAGAGAAGTAAGCTAAGGCATGCCCAACCGGTATCTTCTCTCAGCCATTGAGGGTTCCATAGAGCCTGGAAACTTTTGGACAAAACACAGAGAGTGACTAAAGCAAAAGAAAATGTGAGACTAATTTTTGTATTACCAAAGTCACCATCCAAAGGCTAAGCAAAAACTGCTCCTGACCAGAGTCATGACCACCTCAGGACCTTCTAAGGAGCACCGCTCTAGGACTGGGAGTCCCATTTAAGTATTAAGCTAGGAAATCCAAATATGAACTTATGCCACTGCGATCTGTTTATTTAATATTAAAAAATAGAAATAAATGAAAGAGGAATAACTTACCATCTCTAAATGGAGCAAAACATTTGAAGCTCGTGGTCCCCGATGATGAAAAACAGCATTTGTGTCTCAAACATTCACTCTCACTAAGATCTTGCAGCTCATTACAAGGCTTTGCCACCTGATTTTCCCTCAGATTGCAAGCTTTTAAAAACAGAAATTTAAGAAAGAGAATTCAGCATGGTTAGTTACCACTTTCCCTAATTAAATAATTACTGGAAGACAAAGAAGAAAAGCAAACATTTAATGGCATATACAGCTAATGATGGGTGCTAAAAGAAAATAAGACTTAAGCTAAAAGTTACCACTAAGTTATTTAATATCACATTTTCAAATCTAGGTGAATTGCAGAAAATTACAAGTTGTTAAAAAATCTTTGGTAAGATAGTTTAAAAGGACAATAAATCATGTGCTGAGTGGTGATGATGCAAATATAACACAGAAGGAACTAAATAACAACAAGTCAAATGCTTTTAAAACTAATCCCTTGTTAAAATGATCCCACATATATCCTCCGGCTTAACGTTACTAAGCCACAGAACTAAGTAAAAATTACATAGTTTGCTGCTAGTGACTAAAGTAAGTGATACACTGGCATTGACCTACTTTTTGTGAACACTTATCATATTGGCACTATAATATATTTTAAGATTCTTCGTTTCACCCTTAAATTATGACTCTATAATTTTAAACAGGCAATGATTTATGGCATTAACACCAAGATTATGCAACTGCAATAAATTCGTACATACCTGAATCTAAAAGACCTGCAAGCTCAAATAGCTTATTTTCTATAATATCCTGCTTTATAAGAGAAACAAATACAAACTAAAAAGCACAATATTAGATTTTCATTCAAAAAGAAAAACCTCCACAGTATGTCTATGTGTTAAGGCCAGAATAGATTCGGTTCAATCTCTTATACTATCAACAATTACAAACTTAAAAGTAGTAACTGATATTTTATAATCACTAAAGCACTTCAACATCAGCAAAGAACAACGTAATTGTTTTATGCAAATTTTAACCTCAGTATATTTTACTACATTCCTCTTTTTTAAAGATTGGCAATTGCTGAAGCCAAGGTAAAAATAATAATATCTACCATTATTTAGGCACCTGTTTGGGCCAGGAACCTTGCTTTACACACTTTATTACTAATCTTTGCAACAAACTCCCAAATTGAGTTTTACAATCTCTGTTTTAAAAATAATAAAGGATCAAAGTAACTTATGCAAGATCAAAAATTTAATGCACTACCAACTGGCCTAGACACTCATTTTCCAAACATTTTAGACATGAGAGTTTATCCTACTTGTTGTTCTATATTCTAAGTAATCTGTTCTTCAATTCTGCTAGGCCCAGAGCGGCTCTTCTCCCCTAGGTTGGATTGCATCAAGTGTTCAGTTCTGGGTGTCAAACACCCAGAAAATGGTGACAATAGTCAGGACTACTCAGAGATGGGATGGATTTCCTTGCATGCTGAGTTTCTCACCATGGGTACTGTTCAAACACCACTTCCCAGAAATGCTAAAGAGAGGGTTAGGGTTAGGGTTAAATCGTAGAAGAGACTAGACTATATGATCTCTAAGATCATCTGTTAATTTCTGCTTTAAGTGCATCTGATGGACTTTATGCTAGATATTAAAATTAACACAGGCCAGGCACGATGGCTAGTGCCTGTAATCCCAGCACTTTGGGAGCCCAAGGCGGGCGGATCACGAGGTCAAGAGATCGAGACCGTCCTGGCCAACATGGTGAAAACCTGTCTCTACTAAAAATACAAAAATTAGCTGGGCGTGGTGGCATGTGCCTGTAGTCCCAGCTACTCAGGAGGCTGAGGTAGGAGAATTGCTTGAACCTGGGAAGCAGAGGTTGCAGTGAGCCGAGATTGTGCCACTGCACTCCAGCCTGGCAACAGAGCGAGACTCTGTCTCAAAAAAACAAAAACAAATTAACTTTCAAGCTCAAATTACTAAGAGGCATTGGTAATTTTAAAGAATCAAAAAGGTAGAACAATTTTTTTTTGTCAGGTTTAAGTATGTAATTTTGTCCAAAGGGAGAAAGATCAGGTGATCTCTCAAGCTTCCCTGCCAGTGTGTATCAAGGTTGTCATTTTAATCTGCAAGAGATAAATATTTTACAAATAGTAGCCTAATGGCAAAACAACGAACTTTTTTTTCATGCTTAAGTGGTAAGAGTGTTTATTTTCAATTATGTGGGGGAAGAAATAAATTGGTTAAAAATATTTCACGTTTTATGAAGCTGTAGTTATTGTCTTCAAAGACAGTATGTACATTTGATAAATATTTAATCACTTTTTGAATCAACCTAGGTCAGATGTTTCTATTAAAATGGAACAATTTTATTTTGTTGGACAAAATTTTTACTTCATATAATTGATTTTGACTTACTTTCCTGCACCAGGTTGGAGAAATATTTGGGAAATGCAGATATCTTTTTCGAACCATTTTTACAGGTGGCTTCAGTGTCTGTACAATGTAGTTATTACAGGTAAGTATGTGACTGTTTACATCTGTTGTTTTCATAAGCTTTAAAGCTTAAATCATCATTAGTTGTTGTTTACGACTAACTGTGGCACTCAAACCATTCTTTCAGCCTATACGACATAACACCGTCTCAGATTTCTTTTTTATTTACTCAATTTGACCATGGCAGTATTTTGAGTTTATTTAAGGAACTTGTTTATTTTGCTATTCTCATTGGTAGATGCCTGTTTTAAACTTAATGTAACAAGTATAAAGAAACATAAAGAGATTTTTTCAAGTTCACTAAAGAATTCAGTGGAAAGGCCTGGAATCAAAGAACAGATATAATTTTGTGCTTATAGAGTATATCAAATTTTGTTAGAATAAATTCTGCATGATTTTTCATAAGAGCTTTATCTTTGTACTTCACATATTCCAATTTATATGAAGCTTCTCCTTGAAAGGGCACCACATGCTATACAAAATGAAACGTGTTTATTTGTGGTTAATAATTCTCAGGGGTCATAATGTGCTTGATAAACACATTATATACAGAATCACAAAAAGACAGTGAGACTTGAAACCTGGGATTTCTATCATTAAAACAGATGGGAAAACATCTGGCATATTCCATAACATCAGTCACACAGTACCCTCACTAATGCCACAGAAGACATCAATTTCACAATACTGGGTCAGTGACTGAATTTCAGGCAATGCCATTCAGGCAAATTGTGAAAGATTAGATATTTGCGAAGGAAAAGTATTTTATAAACAGTAACAAACATTTATGAAATGCCTTATGAATATTATCTCAGTTCATCCTCATAATTCTTTGTGGTAAATATCTTCATTTCAAAGATGAGGGCACTGAGGTTCAGAGAGATTGTCTTGCCTAAGCCAAAGAGCAGAGCCAGGATTCAAACTCAGCTCTGTCCCACTCCAGTGCCATTACACCACACTGCTTCCTAAACATTTAATTACTGTTTTCAAAACAAGAACATTAGAGGGGGAAAAAAATCAAACAAGAACTTACTTGTTGGAAAGAAAAAATTCAGCAAAGCTTCCAATGCGGAATCTTCTTCCAGAGATTGGCCATGAGCATTTTCACTGTTGGGCAGGATATGTCCATTTGCAAGCACAAAATATGAGGACCCTTAAGAAGAAGTAAAATTATTAATCCCAACATATAAAGCATTTATCACTTTCAATGACCCTTGAATGGTAATTACCTTTGCTTAAATTAATTATAGAATGTCAAATAGCTAACAGATATACTTTCATCTCATAACAGCTTAAGCATCATTAATAATCAGAATGCAATTTTGTTGTGAAACTGAAAAAGTGTTAAATTTACAAATGCTTAAGCTATAGGCTGACACATGCCATTGTTGTAAGCTGATTTACAATAGTAAACTTGCCTCTGACAAATGGCATTAAGAGGCCTAATCAACTGATGAGCTGAAAACAGTATGTATTCCAACTAAATCAGATCCCATCACAGAAAGTCTTGGAAAATATGTTGGCTTACATATATATTGACAAAAATCAAGGCCTTACATACAGTAAAACCTTCCTTATCCTTCTTTCTCACTATTTTAAAGAACTGGTTTTTAGTCTTATTTACACAATTCCCTCCTACATGAGAGAAGAGGATAACACAGATTTGTCCATAGCATTAAATATTTCCCAAAACTATCTTTAATAATGTCACAGAATTCCATTATATGGCTCTATTATAACTCAGTTAGCAATTTCTCCATAGGAAAACATTTAGGCTGTTTACAATTTATTGATGTTATAAAGAACACTGCAATGATTATCATTACATTATCGTTAGCTTGCAATGATTATCACTGAAGCTTTATATTTATATATTTGCAAATATTCATGAAAAATTACTTAAGATAAATTCTTAAGGCATGGTGGCTCTTGAGTATGTCCAAATTACCCTCCAGCAGGGCAACCCTAAAATACACTTCTACCAGTAGTACAGGCAAGTGCCAGTTTTCTGACACCTCTCCATTTTTTATTATTTGCCAATTTGATGGCCAAAATAAAACAAAATATCTTTTGTTTTAATTTGCAACTTTCATAATCAGTGAGCTTACATATTTCATATTGTGTTGCATAGTAGAGAACTTAACTCTTAATCTGCCACATATTTAAAATATTTTTTTCAAGGTAATTGGTTATCCTTACTTTTTTATGGTGTTTGGGAAGCTCAGAAGCTTAAAATGTTATATGTAATTAAATCTATCAATCTCTTCCTTTATTATTTTTACCTCTATAAAGGCATTCTATACTCTAATACTCCCAACATTTTCATGGTTGTACTTTTTAAATTTAAATATTTAATACACCTGGAGTATATTTTGGAGTGTGTTGTGGAGTAGGGATACGATTTTTCCAGCAGTCATAAGGCCCTTTATTAAATCCATCCTTTTCTGTTATACTTAAGATAACATCATCACATTCTAAATCCTTACTATATCCTTATAGTCATAGATCTGCTTCTTGACTTTCTATTCTGTTCCACCAACCTATCTATTCATGTGCCAATACTAATGTTATTGTTTATTTTATCTTTTCTTTTATTTTTTTTTTGAGACAGAGTATCGCTCTGTTGCCCAGGCTGGAGTGCAATGGCGCAATCTCAGCTCACTGCAACCTCCGCCTTCCTGGTTCAAGTGATTCTTGTGCCTTGGCCTCCCGAGTAGCTGAGATTACAGGCATGCACCATCACGCTCAACTAATTTTTGTATTTTTAGTAGAGACGGGGTTTCACCATGTTTCCCAGGCTGGTATCGTGATCCACCTGTCTAGGCCTCCGTAAGCCACTGCACCCGGCCTATCTTATGTCATTATGTTTTAATAACTGATCTGGTAATCCTTTCATTGTCTCTACTATCAAATTTTATTTTCAGCTCTGAGAATTTTTTAGATGAACCTTAAAATCGTTTTGTCAAGTCAAAAAAAATTCTAAATTTTATGGTAATTATGTTCACTTATTTATCATTCATTCAAAAATCATTTATTGTGTGTCCCACGTGCTAGGCATGAATTCAATTAAATGTAGACTCATTTGGAGAGAATTGATAATGTTACAAAATTTTTTCACCTAAGTAGTTTTGTTTCTCTGTTCATTCAAGTCTCTTTTTATGTCCCTGAATAAGGTTTATCATTGTATTCAGATAGGCCCTGCACTTTTCTTAGTACATTTATTCCCAGGCATCATATATATTTTGTTGTTTTGTGAACATAATCCATTTCACCACATTTTCTAGTGGATTGATGGTATGTAAGAGAGCTATTGATTTTTATACATATATTTTCTTCCTCCCTTAGTTAACTCTCGTTAGTTCTCATTGTTCTTCAGTTTCATTCCAGATAGACAATAATATTATCACTAAATATAGATGACTTTGTCTCCTTTCTTTACAATATTAACACCTGAATTATTTTTCTTCTTTCACTGTATTGCCTAGAAATGTTTAAACTATGTTGATTAATAACCATAATAATGGGCGTTCTTGAGTCATTCCTGACTTTAATGGGAATGTGCTAATATTTCATAATGAAGTATAATGTTGGCTGCTGGTGTAAGATAGATACCCTTTATTAAATTAAGGATGTATTTCTCTAGTTTTAGTTTTCTACAAATTTTCTGTTGTTATTTTGTTTCATTTTGAATCAGGGATAGAACTGGGATTCTATCAAATCCTTTTAATATTTACTGCCATGATGATATTTCCCCCTGCCTATTAATTATTGAATGTTATTAATATATTTGCCAATATTAAAATATTCTTGCATTCTTGAACAAAGTCCACAAGTGCTAATGTTTTATATAGGATTCATGATTCAACATTCCTAAGTGAAGTGTGTCTGCAGTTTTCTTTTGTGTGCTACATCTGTAAATTTTGGCATAAGAGTTATACCTGTTTCATTCATAAAATAACCTAGGAAGCTTCCTGTTGCTTTTCTAGACTAAAACAGATGAAACAATATAGGAATGATTTGATCCATTAAAGGTTTGGGAAAACTCATCCAGAAAAAGTCTGAGTCTTCATTTTTTGGAGAGGGGTAGTTCTTTATCTTTTGCTTCTTCATGGTCACAGTTAATTTTGTTATTTTTATTTTGCTAGGAAATCATCTATTTACAAAGCAATTATTAGCATGGAATCATAAGACTATTCACTTGTAATATTTAAATCTCCTTTATATCAATGATAATATCTTCTTTCTCATTTTAATGAGAGCAACTTCCATACACATACATTTGAATGTGTACTCTCACAATGAACTCTATTATAAATGTTAAATCAAGCTAAATTATATTATGCAAATGCTCTGTATCTTTATTTTTCTGTCAAGGACTAAAAGATAAATATTAAAGTATCTCACCATGATTGTGGTTTTGACGATTTCTACTTAAATTTCTAAAACTATTTGTTTCATATATTCCAATAGTGCATATTCAATCATGACAATTTTATCTTCACTATATATTACACCTTGACAATATTAAACATAATCCATTTTGTCCTGCTTGTTTTCTACTAATGCTTACTCATTATTGAACACCCACTATATTCTGTGTTTTGAGGATATATCAGTGAACAAGTCAGACAAGATCCCTGCCCTCATGGAGCTTACTACAATGCAGTGGAGAAGACAGACCACTAACAAATTAAGTAATTACAAATTGTAATGAGTGCTATGAAGAAAAGTGGATACTGATACAGAATAAAGGAGGGGGGCTACTTTAAATGGGAGCCAGTCTCTCTGAGGAGATGATATTTAAGTGGAAAAAAAAAAAAGACTAGAAGTAGCTGGCTGAACAAAGGGCCTGGGAGAGTGCTTCCAGCACAAGGACAAGAAATGAGATTAATGTTGCTAGGCACATTTTGCCAGATCAGAGAACCCTCTGTCCTACATGACATGAGAAGGGAGCTACAGATGGAAGGGACCTTGACAAGACTTTAGTTCCATATTGCTGTTTGTTTGCTCAGTGTTCCCCTTCGTCAATTTGCTGTCCTTGTTGCCACTCGATTCAGCACACCATCTGAAGTAAGTGTTGGCTGACAGTAGCACACTGAGGCCCAAGTCTCCATCCTAAGTTATATTCAGCAAGTTATGTGCTCTCTGGAATTCCTCTAGAATATTGATCCCCCAACTTAGAGTCCCCAACTCAGAGTGCCCTAGCCTCCAGACCCTGCTGGACAGGCTTGCCCTTGGCTTGACATGAAACACAAGTTGCTGTGATTTCTCTCCATCATGTTTTTATCTTTCAGAGAACCCTCCAAGTTTCTGGCATATAGATGCCAGATGGAAACTTTCTAGGTTCTCCAGGTTTTCACCCTTTATAGATCTTTCGGTCATTACAATGGGCATTGAAATGAAAGCGACAATTAAACATCTTAACTAAGATGAGCAACATCAGTGGCAGTCTCAACCATAAGTCTAGAATATATTTTACCCTGCCCTCCACCTTTGGTTTCTTCCGTACTCTGAAAGAAAATTATTTTTAAATTAATTTGAGCAGTATGTCTCAAAGTGTAGTCTATCACTAGTAGTACATAAGAATTTTAGGTGGAACATAGATGAATATTTATGGATATATTAATGTTTGCTATGAGTTTATTTGAAAGTGTAAAAGAAAAAAATGAGTAACATATCAAACCTACCATGACACCAAACACGGCTGACATCACTTGCCATAGGGCAAATCTTTATAAACTTTGTCTTTTTTGATACTTTGAGTTCTGGGATACATGTGCAGAATGTGCAGGTTTGTTACATAGGTATACATGGGCCATGGTGGTTTGCTGCACCCATCAACCCGTCATCTACATTAGGTATTTCTCCTAATGCTCTCCCTCCTCTAGCCCCCCACCCCCTGACAGGCCCTGGTGTGTGATGTTCCTCTCCCTGTGTCCATATGTTCTCATTGTTCAACTCCCACTTATGTGTGAGAACATGCGGTGTTTAGTTTTCTGTCCCTGTGTTAGTTTGCTGAGAATGATGGTTTCAAGCCTCATCCATGTCCCTGCAAAGGACATGAACTCATTCTTTTTTATGGCTGCATAGTATTCCATGATGTATATGTGCCATATTTTCTTTATCCAGTCTATCATTGATGGGCATTTGGGTTGGTTCCAAGTCTTTGCTATTGTAAATAGTGCTGCAATAAACATACGTGTGCATGTGTCTTTATACTAGAATGATTTATAATCCTTTGGGTATATACCCAGTAATGGGATTGCTAGGTCAAATGGTATTTCTGGTTCTAGATACTTGAGGAATTGCCACACTGTCTTCCACAATGGTTGAACTAATTTATACTCCCATCAACAGTGTAAAAGCGTTCCTGTTTCTCCACATCCTCTCCATCATCTGTTGTTTCCACACATTTTAATGATTGCCATTCTAACAGGCGAGAGATGGTATCTCATTGTGGTTTTTATTTGCATTTCTCTAATGACCAGTGATGATGAGTTTTTTTTCATATGTTTTTTGGCCTCATAAATGTCTTCTTTTGAGAAGTGTCTGTTCATATCCTTTGCCCACTTTTTGATGGTTTTTTTTTCTCTTGTAAATTTGTTTAAGCTCCTTGTAGATTCTGGATATTAGCCTTTTGTCAGATGGATAGATTGCAAAAATTTTCTCCCATTCTATAGGTTGCCAGTTCACTCCGATGATAGTTTCTTTTACTGAGTAGAAGCTCTTTAGTTTAATTAGATCCCATTTGTCAATTTTGGCTTTTGTTGCCATTGCTTTTGGTGTTTTAGTCATGAAGTCTTTGCCCATGCCATTGTCCTGAATGGAACTGTCTAGGTTTTCTTCTAGGGTTTTTATGGTTTTAGGTCTTACACATAAGTGTTTAATCCATCTTGAGTTAGTTTTTGTATAAGGTATAAGGAAGGGGTCCAATTTCTGTTTCCTGCATATGGCTAGCCAGTTTTTCCAATACCCTTTATTAAATAGGAAATCCTTTCCCCATTGCTTGTATTTGACAGGTTTGTCAAAGATCAGATGGTTGTAGATGTGTGGCATTATTTCTGAGGCCTCTGTTCTTCTCCATTGGTCTGTATGTCTGTTTTGGTACCAGTACCATGCTGTTTTGGTTACTATAGCCTTGTAGTATAGTTTGAAGTCAGGTAGTGTGATGCCTCCAGCTTTGTTCTTTTTGCTTAGGCTTTATAAACTTTTGTCCCTGCTCTTTCTTCCCTGGGACAATTGCCTCCTTTTCCTCTTTAACTCTCTCCAAAGTCTCCCACCAGCTAGCACACAAGCCTTTTTCTCAGGTCTTCCTCTCTACCCAAACAGCCTCCAGCCTTTTTCCCCTCCTCCATTATTTTTCATATGAAGAATAATGTCATCCTCTTTGCCTCTAATTTGCATCTTTACACTCATTAGCATGTTCAGCAAATAAAAGATTAGGAGTCAGCCTTTTAAATTGGTAGCAGAAAATATTAAAGAACGAATTATGTTTCCTTGTCACAAAGAATTTTTTATTTTTTAATTTCCCTGTTACAAATAAAAGACTAAAAATCTAACTACATTTCAACGGAAAAGAAACACCAGACTCAGTGCAGACAGAGAGCTTCATCTATATGTGACTTGTGCAGTCAAACAGGGCCCCACACTTGGGGAGCTCCATGCTTGGTTTAATGTTTTGCTATCGCCATTTTGAAAACCATGAATTTTAAATGAGAGATCTTGTATTTTCATTTTACAAATTATGTTGCCCCCGCCCCCCCCATCCCCGCTGTGGTGTGAGGTCTAATAGATGAGAAACTGAATGACAGGGTGAGGAGACAGAAAGAGCAGTGGCTAACTGTATCAGTTTCTAAAGGATTTTACTGAGGCTTCAAGTTGAGGGTCTACCTATGCCACTATCTTTCTGGGTGTTGGCCTCAAACAGACCTGAGTTTGTATCCTGACTCTGCCACATACTAGGTGGTGAACTTGAGCATGTCAGTAAACTTCTCGTTGCCTCAGTTTACTCATCTGCAAAATGGTGATATTTATTTTGAAGTGTTATGAGGATTAAATGAAGTCACATGTGAAGGGCTTAATACAATGCAAAACAGTTTGTTACATGTCTTTCATCGTTTATTTTTATTGCTTACAATTTTAAATTTAATATCATTACTTGTTTTCAGGATATTTATTTTTATTAATAACTTTCTTAATAGCAAATATGGTCAACTTTCCATTTATAACTATGGTACAGTTCCCTTTTTAAATAAATATATTAATGTAAAAAAGTAAGGTAGCTTAAAGGAAAATATGAATGACTGGTATCATTAAGATAACCAAGCATTTTGACTGAACAGGAAAAATGCCCACCTAGTGAAATTTCTTCATTTTTTCGATAAGATAACTGAAGCCTAAAGAGGTAAAATGACTCATCAATGGTCACACAGCAAGTTAGTGTGAACAATCAGGGCAACCTAGATCTCTTGATTCCTAGCTTAGGGCTCCTCCAACTACACCACACGTACACAGGGTTAAAGCAAAAGCTAGCCTCGTGCTCAATTAGGTACACGGCAGGCAGCCAGACTTTCTATGTGTAATGCCTCATTCACTCCCCAAGGATATCAGATAAATAAAGTATTCTAATATAATGATACAGAAACTAGTTACTGAGATCTGTCCATGCAGCTAAGGCAATTTGAAAATATTACCTACTAGTCCATCTTTATTTCTCATTTTTTAAATTTCCCTGAAAAGGATGAGCAATTAGGACTGACTGAATAGGTTACAGATTATTGGTGGAATCAAACTCCCAGTCCACAGTTTGCTTCTCTCCTTATCCTGTATGCCACTGGTCTGTACGTCTTCTGCATAAATATAACTTGAAAGGCAATGTGGCTTGGGAATGCAAATGACAATACAAACTGGAGGTATATCCCAGAGTTACCTCAGGTCACTCAACTTCAATTCCTGTCAGTACCATTAAATCTAAGAGAACTCACTAGGGTCCGTCTAGAAATGAGAAAGGGAATTTTAATGTCAGAACCATATGTTTTGCTTTTGCCATAATTCTACAGGACCATGGACAATTATTTTACCTTCTGATGTATATTAGTTTCCTAGGGCTGTTGTAACAACATACCATAAACTGGGTGGCTTAAAACAGAAATTTATTGTCTCACACCTCTGGAGGCTAGAAGTCCAAAACCAAGGTGTTAGTAGGGCTGGTTCCTTCTGAGGATTGTGAGGAAACGCCTCTCCTTGGCTTGCAGGTTGAAATAGTCTTTCCTGTATGGGTGTCTGTCTCTGCATCCAAGTTTCCCCTTTTTATAAGGACACCATTCATAGTGGATTAAAATACACTTCAGATGACCTCATTTTAACTTGATTATCTCTATGAAGACCTTATCTCCAAACAAGATCACAAATAAGGTATTGGGGTTATAATTGCAACTGTTTTTGGTGAGGGAACACAATTCAACCCATAACAAGTGCATTTTGTTATGTTAATTAAGTGAAATAATTTTAAATGCAAATTAAATTTAATTCATACAGTCACATATTACCTCCTGAGAATCTGGGAAATCTAACAATGTAAAGAATGAATCATAGATTATTTTAGGAGAAAACATGTTAGACCTATAATGGAAAAAGTACTCCTGGAAATAAAGAAATCACACTGAATTAGACAGTATTCTTTTTTGTGTGGGAGTTCTACTCAAAATAGAAATAGAAAATGAAGAACTCGCTGACTAAGAAAAAATACACAATTTATAGTTTTGTTTTTCAGCTTACTTTTTTAGAGGATAAGAAGACTTTTAGTATTGTACTATTACAAATACAGTAATTCAGAAATACTTTGGTGTTTTAGATAAATAGTAGAAATAAACCTGAATAATTTGTAGTAATATTATGATTTGTAAATGATCATTAAAAATATCTTAACATTTTTTCAAAGAACAGAAATCATATTTTCTAACTTATTTCAAATAATTGATAAAACAGCATATACTTTATTTAATTATGAATTTCATTCCTCACAAAAACCTAGAAACCCATGTAGTTGTGACATAGTGTATAGAAGTCTCTATTCTTTTTAGTTGTGATGCCACTGCCCAATCTTTGCCTCCCTCTTTGACTGTGGGTGGACCTTGGTTGAGAAGACGGAAAACCTCTAGGGAGAGCAGGGAGAAAGAAGCCCTTGGGATTAGAGGTGGGGATGCTGAAGTCTTTGGGCTTGGGTCTGGAGCTCAAAGGCAGGAGACTGTGGGAAATCTAAGGCCTTTGTGCAGATGAGAACATAAAATACGTTTGTGAGGGGGTTGGGAGAAAAGGCACGCCATTATGGGTAATATTGAGAAAGCTGTTTTGAGAAAACCATCTGAGACTTAGGAAGGTTATGGAAGGAAAGAAGGTTGTAGGAAAAGGAAAAGCAGTTCAGGTTGGGAGAATCTGGAGGAGGAGGGAAAGACTTTGAGTGAAGCAAGTGAGGCAGAAAGACCATTAAGTGGAAGGAAGAAAAGAAGGCTTTTGGGGAAGAAGTGGAAAGTACCTTTGGGTGGTGAAGGAAGGAAAACCTGAGTGGGGAGAAGAACTTTTGGAGAGCTGAAAGTAGGCTTCTGAGAGGGAGTGAGTGAAGGCCTGGAGGAGGGTAAATAAAGAGGTAAGAGAAGGAATTTGAGGGAGAGGGGAAGGCCTTAGTGAAGGTAGCTTAGAGAGGGAGAGGATGATATAAGGTAAAAGAAGGGAAGTAAGGGACTGAAGACTTTAAGAGAGGAGAAAAGGGCTCTGTGAGATAAGGAATGAAAAGCTTTTGAGAAAAGGCCTGTGAAGTGAGCAAAGGAAAGTCATTGTGGGGAGGTGAGAAATGAAAGGACCTTGATTGAAGGACAAGAAAAACTTTTGGAATGGTGATGAAGGAGGGAAGGCATTTGTGAGGGTAAAAGAAGGAAGGCCCCTCTCCCTCTCCCTCTCCCCACGGTCTCCCTCTCATGCGGAACCGAAGCTGGACTGTACTGCTGCCATCTCGGCTCACTGCAACCTCCCTGCCTGATTCTCCTGCCTCAGTCTGCCGAATGCCTGCGATTGCAGGCACGCGCCGCCACGCCTGACTGGTTTTGGTGGAGACGGGGTTTCGCTGTGTTGGCCGGGCCGGTCTCCAGCCCCTGGCCGCGAGTGATCCGCCAACCTCGGCCTCCCGAGGTGCCGGAATTGCAGACGGAGTCTCGTTCACTCAGTGCTCAATGGTGCCCAGGCTGGAGTGCAGTGGCGTGATCTCGGCTCACTACAACCTACACCTCCCAGCCGCCTGCCTTGGCCTCCCAAAGTGCCGAGATTGCAGCCTCTGCCCGGCCGCCACCCCGTCTGGGAAGTGAGGAGTGTCTCTGCCTGGCCGCCCATTGTCTGGGATGTGAGGAGCCCCTCTGCCTGGCTGCCCAGCCTGGAAAGTGAGGAGCATCTCCGCCCGGCCGCCATCCCATCTAGGAAGTGAGGAGCGCCTCTTCCCAGCCGCCATCACATCTAGGAAGTGAGGAGCGTCTCTGCCCGGCCACCCATCATCTGAGATGTGGGGAGCGCCTCTGCCCCGCCACCCCATCTGGGATGTGAGGAGCGCCTCTGCCCGGCCGAGACCCTGTCTGGGAGGTGAGGAGCGTCTCTGCCCGGCCGCCCCGTCTGAGAAGTGAGGAGACCCTCTGCCTGGCAACCACCCCGTCTGAGAAGTGAGGAGCCCCTCCGCCCGGCAGCTGCCCCGTCTGAGAAGTGAGGAGCCTCTCCGCCCGGCAGCCACCCCATCTGGGAAGTGAGGAGCGTCTCCGCCCGGCAGCCACCCCGTCCGGGAGGGAGGTGGGGGGGGTCAGCCCCCCGCCCGGCCAGCTGCCCCGTCCGGGAGGGAGGTGGGGGGGTCAGCACTCCGCCCGGCCAGCCGCCCCGTCTGGGAGGTGAGGGGTGCCTCTGCCCGGCGGCCCCTACTGGGAAGTGAGGAGCCCCTCTGCCCAGCCAGCCGCCCCGTCCGGGAGGGAGGTGGGGGGTCAGCCCCCTGCCCGGCCAGCCGCCCCCTCTGGGAGGGAGGTGGGGGGGGTCAGCCCCCCTGCCCGGCCAGCCGCCCCGTCCGGGAGGTGAGGGGCGCCTCTGCCCAGCCACCCCTACTGGGAAGTGAGGAGCCCCTCTGCCCGGCCACCACCCCGTCTGGGAGGTGTGCCCAACAGCTCATTGAGAACGGGACGGGATGACAATGGCAGCTTTGTGGAGTAGAAAGGCGGGAAAGGTGGGGAAGGGATTGAGAAGTCAGATAGTTGCCGTGTCTGTGTGGAAGGAAGTAGACATGGGAGACTTTTCATTTTGTTCTGCACTGGGAGAAATTCCTCTGCCTTGGGATCCTGTTGATCTGTGACCTTGCCCCCAACCCTGTGCTCTCTGAAACATGTGCTGTGTCCACTCAGGGTTAAATGGATTAAGGGCGGTGCAAGATGTGCTTTGTTAAACAGATGCTTGAAGGCAGCATGCTCGTTAAGAGTCATCACCAATCCCTAATCTCAAGTAATCAGGGACACAAACACTGCTGAAGGCCGCAGGGTCCTCTGCCTAGGAAAACCAGAGACCTTTGTTCACTTGTTTATCTGCTGACCTTCCCTCCACTATTGTCCCATGACCCTGCCAAATCCCCCTCTGTGAGAAACACCCAAGAATTATCAATAAAAAAATAAATTAAAAAAAAAAAAAAAAAGAAGGAAGGCCTTTGTGATGATAAGTGAAGGAAGGAAGTTTTTTGGGAAAGGAGGTGAGAAAGTTAGGGTTTTGTGAGGGGACTTGAGGGAAGGAGGCCTTTGAGCAGGGAAGGAAGTCAATTGTGAAGGTAAAGAAAGCAGGAAAGGTAACCATGAAAGAAGATTAGGTCTTTGTGAGGGGAGGTGAAAGAGGTTAGAATTTTGTTAGGGGAGAGCATGGAAAGAAGATTTTGGTAGAGGAGAAGATGGAGGGTATACCTTTGTGAGGAGAGATAAGGGAGGTTGGAACTATATAAGCAAAGGTGAGGCAGGGAATGTACTGGTGAGATAAGAAAGGACTATGAAGAGGAGATGAAGGAGGTTATTATTTCATGAGGGAGGTGAAAGAAGAAAGGCCCTTGTGAGAGGAGATGAGGGAGAAAGGTCTTTGTGAAGGAAGACAAGGAATTTTAGTGAAGAGTTGAGGAATTAAAGGCCTCCACGACTGAGGTGAGAAAAGTAAGCACTTTTTCAGAAGTGTGGTAGGAAGCCTTTAGAGAGAGATAAAAGAAAGCATTTGTGAGTGAACATGCGGGAGGGTAGGACTCTGTGATGGAAGGTGAGTAAAGAAAGGCTTTCATGAGGGGAAATGAGCAAGGAAAGACTTTTGTGAAGGGAGGAGATTGAGGAAATGTGTGGTGAAGTAAGGGAGGTTAGCAAGTGAGGTTAGGGGTGGAAAAGCTTTAAGAGAGGAGATGATGGAGGTTAGTGGTTTCAGCGGTGTGGTGAAGAAGGTTAGTCCCATGTGATGGAGGTACTGAAAAGAAGGTCTTGGGAGAGATGAGGGAGGAAAGTCACCTATGAGAGAAAGTCATTTCTGAAAGAAGGGAAAGGAAATGTAGTACTTTGTGAAGGGAGGTTAAGGAGGGAAGACCTTTCAAAGAATACCTATAACAAATAAAGAGATTGAAACACTAAACAAAACCTCCCTTGTAACAGAGAAATTATAGTTAATAATAATTTGTTTTATATTTCAAAGTAGCTAGAAGAGAAGAATTGGAATGTTCCCAACACAAAGATAAATTTTTGAGGTAATGGATATCTCAATTACCTGGATTTGATCACTACACATTGTATATACATATTAAAATATCACATATACCCCAAAAATACATACAACTATGATATATCAATATAAAAATACAAAAACAGGGGCATCTGCTGGCAAGATGGCCGAAAAGGAACAGCTCTGGTCTGCAGCTCCCAGCAAGACCAATGCAGAAGTTGGGTGATTTCTGCATTTCCAACTGAGGTACCCTGTTCATCTCATTGGGACTGGTTAGGCAGTGGGTGAAGCCCACGGAGGGTGAGTAGAAGCAGGGTGGGGTGTCGCCTTACCTGGGAAGTGCAAGGAGCAGAGGCATCCCTTTCCCAGCCAAGCGAAGCTGTGACAGACTGTGCTATCTGGCCCAGATACTATGCTTTTTCTATGGTTTTTGCAGTCCACAGACCAGGAGATTCCCTCATGTGCCTACACCACCAGGGCCCTGGGTTTCAAGCACAAAACTGGCAGCTGTTCAGACAGACACGGAGCTAGCTGCAGGAGCTTTTGTTTTTTTTTTTTTTTTCTTAGCCCAGTGGCACCTGGAACCCCAGTGAGACAGAACTGTTCACTCCCCTGGAAAGGGGGCTGAAGCCAGGGAGCCAAGCCAGTGGGTCCAACTCCCACAGAGCCCAGGAAGCTAAGAATGACTGGCTTGAATTTCTCCCTGCCAGCACAGCAGTCTGAAGTCGACCTGGGACAATTGAGCTTGGTGTGGGGAGGGACATCCACCATTACTGAGGCTTGAGTAGGCGGCTTTCCCCTGACTGTGCTAAGGACTGGGTGGAACTCAACACAGTGTGGCAAAACAGCTGTGTCCAGACAGCCTCTCTAGATTCCTCTTCACTGGGCAGGGCATCTCTGAAAGAAAGGCAGCAACCCCAGTCAAGGGCTTAAAGATATAACTCCCGTCTCACTGGGACAGAGCACCCGAGGAAAGGGGCGGCTGTCGGCGCAGCTTCAGCAGACTTAAACGTTCCTGCCTGCCACTTCTGAAGAGAGCAGTGGACCCTGACAAGGAGGGTTCTACAAGCACAGCACTCGAGCTCTGCTAAGGGACAGACTGCATCCTCAAGTGGGTCCCTGACCCCTGTGCCTCCTGACTGGGAGAGACCTCCCAACAGGGGGTGACAGGAGCCTCATACAGGAGAGCTCTGGCTGGCATCAGGCTGGTGCCCCTCTGAGATGAAGCTTCCAGAGAAAGGAGCAGAAAGCAATCTTTGCTGTTCTGCAGCCTCCACTGGTGATAACCAGGAAAACAGGGTCTGGGGTGAACCTCCAGCAAACTAGAGCAGACCTGCCACAGAGGGGCCTGACTGTTAGAAGAAAACCTAACAAATGGAAAGCAGTAACATCAACATCAGCAAAAAGAACCCCCACACAGAAATCCCATCCAAAGTTCTTCAGCCTCAAAGATCAAAGGTAGATAAATCCACAAAAATGAGGAAAAAACAGTGCAAAAATGCTGAAAATTCCAAAAACCAGAATGCCTCTTCGCCTCCAAATGATCACAACTCCTCTCCGGCAAGGGCAGAAAACTGGATAGAGAATGGGTTTGACAAAGTAGGCTTCAGAAGGTGGGTAATAACAAACTCCTCTGAGCTAAAGGAGCATGTTCTAATCTAATGCAAGGAAGCTAAGAATCTTGACAAAAGGTTACAGGAACTGCTAACTAGAATAACCAGTTTAGAGAAGAACATAAATGAACTGATGGAGCTGAAAAACACAGCACGAGAACTTCGTGAAGCATACACAAGTATCAATAGCCAAATCAATCAAGAAGAAGAAAGGATATTAGGGATTGAAGATCAACTTAATGAAATAAGGCGTGAAGACAAGATTAGAGAAAAAAGATTGAAAAGGAATGAAAAAAGCCTCCAAGAAATATGGGACTATGTGAAAAGACAAAACCTACGTTTGATTGAGGTCCCTGAAAGTGACGGGGAGAATGGAACAAAGTTGGAAAACACACTTCAGGATGTTATCCAGGAGAACTTCCCCTAACCTAGCAAGACAGGCCAACATTCAAATTCAGGAAATAGAACACCACAAAGATACTCCTCGAGAAGAGCAACCCCAAGGCACATAATCATCAGACTCACCAAGGTTGAAATGAAGGAAAAAATGTTAAGAGCAGCAAGACAGAAAGGTCAGGTTACCTACAAAGGGAAGCCCATCAGACTAACAGCAGATCTCTCTGCAGAAACCCTACAAGCCAGAATAGAGTGGGGCCAATATTTAATATTCTTAAAGAAAAGAATTTTCAACCCAGAATTTCATATCCAGCCAAACTAAGCTTCATAAGCGAAGGAGAAATAAAATCCTTACAGACAAGCAAATCCTAAGGGATTCTGTCACCACCAGGCCTGCCTTACAAGAGTACCTGAAGGAAGCACTAAATATGGAAAGGAAAAACCAGTACCAGCCACTGCAAAAACACGCCAAAATACAAAGACCAATGACACTATGAAGAAACTGCATCAACTAATGTGCAAAACAGCTAGCATCATGATGACAGGATCAAATTCACACATAACAATATTAACCTTAAATGTAAATCGGCTAAATGCCCCAATTACAATACAGAGACTGGCAAATTGGATAGAGCCAAGACCCATTGGTGTCCTGTATTCAGGAGACCCATCTCACATGCAAAGACATACACAGTCTCAAAATAAAGGGATGGAGAAATTTCACCAAGCAAATAGAAAGAAAAAAAAAACCAATCCTAGTCTCTGATAAAACAAATTTAAATCAAAAAAGACAAAGAAGGGCATTACATAATGGTAAAGGGAATCAATGCAAAAAGAAGAGCTAATTATCCTAAATACATATGCACCCAATACAGGAGCACTCAGATTCATAAAACAAATTCCTACAGACCTACAAAAAGACAGACTCCCACACAATAATAGTGGGAGACTTTAACAACCCACTGTCAATATTAGACAGATCAACGAGATAGAAAATTAACAAGGATATTCAGGACTTGAACTCAGCTCTGGACCAAGCAGACCTAACAGACACCTATAGAAGACTCTACCCCAAATCAACAGAATATACATTCTTCTCAGCATCACAAAATAATAAGAGCTATTTATGACAAACCCATAGCCAACATCATACTGAATGGGCAAAAGCTGGAAGCATTCCCTTTGAAAACCGGCACAAGACAAGGATGCCCTCTCTCACCACTCCTATTCAACATAGTATTGGAAGTTCTGGCCAAAGCAATCATGCCAGAGAAAGAAATAAAGTGTATTCAAATAGGAAGAGAGGAAGTCAAATTGTCTCTGTTTGCAGATGACATGATTTTATATATTTAGAAAACCCCATCGTCTCAGCCCCAAAACTCCTTAAGCTGATAAACAACTTCAGCAAAGTCTCAGGATACAAAATCAATGTGCAAAAATAACAAGCATTCCTATACACCAAGAATAGAAAAGCACAGAGCCAAATCATGAGTGAACTCCCATTCACAATTGCTACAAAGAAAATAAAATACATAGGAACACAACTTACAAGGGACATGAAGGACCTCTTCAAGGAGAACGACAAACCATTGCTCAAGGAAATAAGAGACGACACAAACAAATGGAAAAAAAATTCCATGTTCATTGATAAGAAGAATCAGTATCGTGAAAATGGCCATACTGCCCAAAGTAATTTATAGACTCGTTGCTATTCCCATCAAGATACCATTGGCTTTCTTCACAGAACTAGAAAATACTACTTTAAATTTCATATGGAACCAAAAAAGAGCCCGTGTAACCAAGACAATCCTAAGCAAAAAGAACAAAGCTGGAGGCATCACACTACCTGACTTCAAACTATACTACAAGACTACAGTAACCAAAACAGCATAGTACTGGTACCAAAACAGATATATAGAAAAATGGAACAGAACAGAGGCCTCAGAATTAACACCCCACCTCTACAACCATCTGATCATTGACAAACCTGACAAAAACAAGCAATGGGGAAAGGATTCCCTATTTAATAAATGGTGTTGGGAAAACTGGCTAGCCATATGCAGGAAGCAGAAACTGGACCCCTTCCTTACACCTTATGCAAAAGTAAACTCAAGATGGATTAAAGACTTAAACATAAGACCTAAAACCATAAAAACCCTAGAAGAAAATCTAGGCAATACCATTCAGGACAGAGGCATGGGCAAAGGCTTCATGACTAAAACACCAAAAGCAATGGCAACAAAAGCCAAAATTGACAAATGGGATCTAATTAAACTAAAGAGCTTCTGCTCAGCAAAAGAAACTATCATCAGAGTGAACAGGCAACCTATAGAATGGGAGAAAATTTTTGCAATCTATCCATCTGACAAAGGTCTAATAACCAGAATCTACAAGGAGCTTAAACAAATTTACAAGAAATAAATAAACAACCCCATTAAAAAGTGGGTGTAGGATAGGAACAGACACTTCTGTAAAGAAGCCATTTATGAGGCCCCCAAACATATGAAAAGAAGCTCATCATCACTGGTCATTAGAGAAATGCAAATAAAAACCACAATGAGATACCATCTCAAGCCAGTTAGAATGGCAATCATTAAAATGTATGGAAACAACAGATGCTGGTGAGGATGTGAAGAAATAGAAACACTTTTACACTGTTGGTGGGAGTGTTAATTAGTTCAACCATTGTGGAAGACAGTGTGGCAATTCCTCAAGGATCTAGAACCAGAAATACCATTTGACCCAGCAATCCCATTACTGGGTATATACCCAAAGGATTATAAGTCATTCTACTATAAAGACACATGCACATGTATGTTTATTGCAGCACTATTTACAATAACAAAGACTTGGAACCAACCCAAATGCCCATCAATGATAGACTGGATAAATAAAATGTGGCACATACACACCATGGAATACTATGCAGCCATAAAAAAGAATGAGTTCATGTCCTTTGCAGGGACATGGATGAAGTTGGGAACCATCATCCTCAGCAAACTAACACAGGGACAGAAAACTAAACACCGCATGTTCTCACACATAAGTGGGAGTTGAACAATGAGAAGACATGGACACAGGGAGGGGAGCATCACACACCAGGGCCTGTCGAGGGGTTGGGGGAAAGGGGAGGGAGAGCATTCAGACAAATACCACTTAAAACCTAGTTGACAGGTTGATAGGTGCAGCAAACCACCATGGCACATGTATACCTGTGTAACAAACCTGCACGTTCTGCACATGTATCCCATAACTTTTTTTAAAGTAAAAATAAAATCAAAAATAAAATGTTTCAACAAAAAAAATCTAGGAACGGATGGCTTCACTGGTAATTTCTACCAAATATTTAAAGAAGAATTAACATCAATCGTTCTCAAAATCTTCCAGCAACAATACTTCTTAACTCATTCTAGGAGTTCAGTAGTAACATGATCCCAAGGGCAGGCAAAGACACCACAAGAAAACTGCAGACCAATATCGCTTATGAATATAGATAGAAAATTCTCCTACAAAATACCAGCAAACCAAATGCAACAGCGTATTATAAGGATTATACACAATGACTATAAAGTGGGGTTCATCCCACTAATCTAAAGACAGTTGAACATAAGAAAATCAGTCAACATAATACACAAAGGGAAACAATTTCATATCTCAATTGATGCAAAAAAAGCATCTGACAAAATCTAAAACCCTGTCGTAATAAAATCACTCAGCAAACTAGGAACAGAATGAATCTTACTTAACATGATGAAGAGCTGATGAACAGCTAACATTATAATCAATGTTGAAAAACCAAAAGCTTCCTCTAAAACATGGATGCCTGCTTTCATCACTGCTATTCAATATTGTACTGGAAGTTCTAGCAAGAGCAATTAAGCAATAAGGATAAATAAATGGCATGAAAATCGGAAAGTAAAAAGTAAAACTCTCTCTATTTACAGATAACATGATTCTATGTCTAGAATATCCAAAAAGCCCACAAAATCTTACTAGAGCTAATAAATTAATTTCACAATTTTACAGGGTACGAGACCAACAGGTAAAAATGAGCTGTGCTTCTATACACCAGCAAAGAACAATATGAAAAGAAAAAGGAAACCATTCCATTTGCAATAGCATACAAAAGAATAAAATATCTAAAAATAAATTTAACCAAGGAAGTTAAAGACCTGTAAACTGAAAACTACAAAACATTACTGAAATAAATTAAAGAAGACATTAATAAATGGAAAGACATGGGGTGGTCACAGATTGGAATCCCTAATATTGTTAAGATGGCAGCACTTCCAAAGTGATCTACAGATTCAATGCCAACTCTATCAACATTCCAATGGGCTTGGGGCAGAAACGGAAAAGCTGACTCTCAAATTTATATAGAGTCGTTAGTGGCCATGAATACGCAAAACAGTATGGATAAAGAAGAACGAAAATGATGGACTCACACATTCCAATTTCTAAACTTGCTATAAAGCTGCAGTAATCAAAAGAATGTGGTACCAGCATAGAGATAGACACGTAGACCAGAATAAAATTCAGAGTCCAGAACTAAACCTATAAATCTATAATCAACTGATTTTTCAGAAGGCTGCCAAGAGGAAAAAATCGTCTCTTCAACAAGTGGTGCTGGAACGAGGGGCTATCCACACGCCAAAGAATGAAGTTGGACCCTTAACATACACCATATGCCAAAATCAACTCCAAATGGATCAACAATCTGAATATGAGAGTTAAAACCGTAAAACTCTTAGAAGCAAACATGGGAGTAATCGTCATGACCTTGGATCTGGCAACGGATTCTTAGATATGACTCCAAAACACAAGCAACCAAAGACAAAATAGATAAATTGAACTTTCTCAAAATTAAAAACATTTTTACATCAAAGGACATTATCAAGAAAGTGAAAAGACTACCCACAGAATGGGAGGAAACATTTGCAAATCAGGTATCTGATAAGGATCCAGTATCCAGAATATATAAAGAATTCTTAAAGCTCAACAGCAAAACCACAAACGATCCAATTAAAAATGGTCAAATAATTGAAAAGACATTTCTCCAAAGATGTACGAATGGCCAACAAGCATATAAAACATGCTCAACGTCATTAGGCATTAGGAAAATATAAATCAAAACCATAAAGAGATACTATTTCACTCCTACTATAATGGCTATAATGTATAACAAGGGGGACAGATAACATATATTGGTGAAATTGAAACCTTCAAACATTGTTAGTGGAGATGTAAAACGGTTCAACCACTTTGTAAAACAGTGTGGGACTTCCTCAAAAAGATCAATGGAGTTCCCATATGACCCAGCAATTCTACTCCTAGAGAATTCAAAACATGTCTACACAACAACTTGTACACAAATGCTCATAGCAGTATTGTTCATAATAGGCCCAAAGTGGAAACAACCCAAATTCGGTAAATTTCAAAAACTAGATAAAAATATAGTATATCCCTACAATGGAATACTAGTTAGCCATAAAAAGGAATTAAGTACCCTTATGGACTGGGGAATTGGGAGTAACTGGTTCATGGGTATGGGTTTTAATTTGGGGTGGTTAAAATATTTTGGAACTACATGGGGTGATGGTTGCACAACATTTACAGGAACGAAATCCCTTTAATTGTTCACTATAAAATAGTTAATTTATGTTATATGAATTTCACTTCAATTTTTTTTTCATTTTTTTGAGATGGAGCCTCGCTCTGTCGCCCAAGCTGGAGTGTAGTGGCGCGATCTTGGCTCACTGCAAGCTCCGCCTTCCGGGTCCATGCCGTTCTCCGGCCTCAGCCTCCCAAGTAGCTGGGAATACAGGCGCCTGCCACCACACCTGGCTAATTTTTTTGTATTTTTAGTACAGACGGGGTTTCACCGTGTTAACCAGGATGGTCTCGATCTCCTGACCTCGTGATCCACCCGCCTCCGCCTCCCAAAGTGCTGGGATTACAGGCATGACCCACCGCGCCCGGCCTTTTTTTTTTTTTTTTTTTTTTTGAGACGGAGTCTCGCTCTGTCGCCCAGGCTGGAGTGCAGTGGTGCGATCTCAGCTCACTGCAACCTCCGCCTCCCGGGTTCAAGCAATTCTCCTGCCTCAGCCTCCCAAGTAGCTGGGACTACAGGTGAATGCCACCACGCCCAGCTAATTTTTTTGTATTTTAGTAGAGACGGGGTTTCACCTTGTTGCCCAGGCTAGTCTTGAACTCCTAAGCTCAGGCAATCCGCCCGCCTCGGCCTCCCAAAGTATTGGGATTACAGGCGTGAGCACTGCGCCCAGTCCTTTTTTTTTTTTCTTTTTAGACGGAGTCTCGCTCTCTCACCAGGCTGGAGTGCAGTGGCACCATGCCAGCTCACTGCAACCTCCACCTCCCGAATTCAAGCGATTCTCCTGCCTCAGCCTCCCGATTAACTGGGATTACAGGCGTGCACCACCATGCCCGGCTAATTTTTGTATTTTTAGTAGGGATGAGGGTTTCACCATGTTGGCCAGGCTGGTTTGGACTCCTGACCTCAAGTGATCCACCTGCTTCAGCCTCCTAAAGTGCTGGGATTACAGATGTGAGCCACCGTGCCTTGTCCTCAATTTTTAAAAAGGGGCGACAAGGGAGGTTAGTCTATTTTGTGGCGGGAAGTGAGGAAGGGAAGGCTTTTGTTAGGGGAAGTTGGGGAGGGAAAGTCTTTTATAAGTGAGTTTAGGCAGGAAAGACTTCCTGCGGCCAGGCGAGAGAGGGCAGGACTTTGTAAGGACTGCTGAGGATAGGGCCATAAAGGCCTTTGGGAGGAGAGAGGACAGGAAGGGGCAGGAAGGCCTATGGTTGGTGCCGGTGTGTTGCCACACCCCGCCCCCCTCTCCCTCCCCCTCCCCCTCCCCCAGCATTTCCCTGCCTGGCCTGAGCCAGCACTCACCGGAGCACAGGTAGTAGGACAGGTAGTAGCACACGAACAGCAGGATCCAAATGGAGAGCATGAGCATCCCAAAGGGTTTGCTGACCCGCATCTTTAGAGATTCCCGCCATCCTGGCTGAGGCCTGTCAGCCATGGCGGCCTCGTATCCAGGATGGCTGCTCTCGGGATTCGACTCAGTTGCCGCCAACTCATAAGTTGCCAGCTCTAAGTGAGCCACACGCATGGCACGGTGACTTCTCCTATTCCTCCCCTTCGCTTTCCTCCTATGTGAAGACATGGCTCCGGGTGCCGCCTCGCTGAGACGCTGCCTCACAGCCCAACGGTCCGGCAGTCCGTGGCCCAGAAGCTTCCGGGGCAGTCCGTGGCCCAGAAGCTTCCGGGGCAGTCCGTGGCCCAGAAGCTTCCGGGGCAGTCCGTGGCCCAGAAGCTTCCGGGGCAGTCCGTGACTCAGAAGCCAATAGGGCAGTGGCCCTCGCGTGGCATGTGCCAACTCTCGCGAGACCTGAAACTGATTCCTTCACGATGACGTCTTCTGCTTCATTCCACAGGCCCAGACCCTTATAACCACGTGGCCAGTGGTTGGTGCACCCCCACACTCCCACTCAAAGCCTGGCATATAGGTGCTTGCTAAATGCTTGTGGAACAAGTGAACGGGGCTTCAGGCCTGCACCAGTGGCATGACTGCTTGCCATAGATCAACAAAAAGGAATAACTCGGATTCTGACTCCAACCTTAGCCGTTAATTCCTCCTCATTCCCAGAGTGCACACTGTAGTGTATGGTCACTACAGTTCGTCATTACAGCACTCACGACAGCAGCTGCTAGCCAAATGTGGCTATTTAAATGCAAATTTCAATTACTTAAAATTAAATGAAATTAAGAAAACAGTTCCTCAATCACAGTAGCCACATTAACAAGTGCTCAATAGTCGCATGTGGCTTATGGCTGCCATCCTGGACACTGGCAATATGGATTTTTTTTTTCTTTGTTTCTTTTTTTTTTTTTTTTTTTTTTTTTTGAGACGGTGTCTTGCTGTCTCCCAGGCTGGAGTGCAGTGGCGCGATCTCGGCTCACTGCAAGCTCCGCCTCCCAGGTTCACGCCATTCTCCTGCCTCAGCTTCTGGAATAGCTGGGATTACAGGCGCACACCACCACGCCTGGCCAGTTTTTGTATTTTTAGTAGAGATAAGGTTTCACCATGTTGGCCAGGCTGGTCTCGAACCCCTGACCTCTGGTGATGTGCCCACCTCGGCCTCCCAAAGTGCTGGGATTACAGGTGTGAGTCACCGTGTCTGGCTGGAGCATTTTCATCATGGCAAAAAGTCGTTTTGGGCAGTATTGGATTTGAAGAGTGACTAGTGAATATCGTAGATATTCAATAGATTGTTACACTTTAGTAGAAGCTTTACGTGTTAGACAAAATGCTATTTGCCTTATGAAACCTTAAAACTGAGTTACAAATAAATAAAACAATACGATAACATGAGAACAAATAATGTGTGACGAACACTGAAAAGTGACTAAAATCATTTACGTTTTACTGCTAAAATTACCACCCATGAACTGGGTGGCTCTAAGTAAATGCCTTCCTCCCACTAGGCCTTGGTGCCTCATGTGTAAAATGGAAGGGTTGGACATTGTTTCTAGACCCCCTTTTGGCTCTAAAATCTGACCCTTGGGCAAAATCCCATTATCTTCCTTGGTTTGGGCACACCAGCAAAAGGACTGTGTAGGTACTGCTTCCATAACTGTTAGCTTACCACATTCTAGTTTACAAAGGATATGAAAACCACCCCAACTGCATTTCCATCCTTATTCATAATTATATTATACGTACTTTCCGTTTCTACTACTTTTATTCTATTCTTATTTCCAGTGTTCCTAAGCATCCCACAGAGGAAGGGAGAAGCAAGGCTTCCTATTCCAATAATTCTTGAAACGTAGCACACTCCACCCATCCCTGCCCCATGCCCAAGAGCCATTTATAATGCTGTTTAGTTTATCAAAGAGTCTAACAGGAAAAGAACCCACTTTCCTTCTATATTTTTTTAAATTCTTTTTTTGGCTTCAGCTTTTCCAAAACGAATTTGATGAGAGGATTCTTATCACACAAAACATTTATTAATAGCTTCTGAAACTACTGCTTTCAACTGTGAGGAGCTGTGAAGTATCTGAGATTTTACTCTTCTTTCAAGTAACAAGGTAACTAGTTGCAGTTTTATAGATGCTGGCAGAAGATGCAAGACTACTGAGTCAGAGACAAAGGACAAAAGCTCTCCTGAGACATACAGAAACTCAACAAATCCATGGAAAATTGTCTCCCAACAGCAGCCTTGTTCATGTCATAGCACAGGTGGAAAATTATCATATGACCAGACACCGCACAGCCACCCTGAGGTCTCAGATCAAGCTGGAGCACGCAATTGGGAACTCAGCTCTTTGCCACCTCACAGGTTGAGCTCTATTCGCCTTAGTTTCCCCCCTTCACCAATTATGGGCTGTGGATAGCCCGATTGTGAAGATACCATCCAGCTCTGGCATGCTATGACTCATACTTGACTGTAGCATTTGAGGTTGCTGCAAACCCGTGAGGCATGGCAGTTCTACTACAATGCAATCCACGTTATACCATTAGAAACCCAAATTACTAACAGGAACTCAAGGGACAAAATCCCTAAGATTACATCTCAGCACTTCCTGGTTTACACAACACTAATTAGAGATTGAGGCCCCCCCCCCACACACACACACACAAGCCATATGAAGTGTCCATTTTACAGATTATCAGATGTAAATTTAAAATCCTGCACTGGCTTTCCTCTTTTGTCCTATACCCTCAAGGGAGCTAAATTTGATACTAAACAACCCAGACCTAATTAGAGATAAAAATGTGTTGCATGGGCATGAATACAAGAATTGTTTCATGAGATGGTGCATACCACTGCTCAGAATGTAACTACTGTTCTTGTGGAAAACATAATTGACACTATTTTTTTTTCAAATATCACCACAGACATGAAAAGATGCCTGAGCTCAAGTAATCATGGGAATATAAGTTAAATCAATAATGAGATTTTTCACACTGATCAGATTAGCAAAACTAAATAAATATCCACACGAATATATACAAATAGGACTTTGGTCATTGTAGGTGGGGTTACAAATGGGTACAACCACTTTGGTGATTTTTTTTTTTTGAGAGACAGAGTCTCGCTCTGTTGCCCAGGCTGGAGTGCAGTGCACGATCTCAGCTCACTGAAAGCTCCGCCTCCCGGGTACAAGCAATTCTCCTGCCTCAGCATCCCAAGTAACTGGGACTACAGGTGTGTGCCACTACGCCAGGCTAACTTTGTATTTTTTAGTAGAGAAGGGGTTTCACTATATGTTGGCCAGACTGATCTCGAACTCCTGACCTCAGGTAATCTGCCCGTCTCGGCCTCCCGAAGTGCTGGGATTACAGGCATGAGCCACTGCGCCTGGCCCACTTTGGTGAGTTTTTGACAACACATTGTAAAGTTAAATATTCACATATTCTGTGACCTAGGAATTCCACTTTCAGGTATCTACCCTTTCACCCATGTGTACAAGGGGACATGTACAACAATGTTCATTGTTATAGTGGAAATAACATAAATGATGTCTCAGTAGAGTAATAAAAGCAAACTAGTTCATTCCTATAATGTATAACATTTAATGATAATCAGGATCAGTTGCCTTAGCCAAGGTAGTAATTATCTTTTTTTTTTTTCTGGTTTGCCTACCAGCATGAGGTGGCAGTCCCAGCTTCTAATTGAGGGGAATCATTGTTGTGTTCCCTGAAAGAAATATTGAATAATAATAAGCTTCTAATTCTAAAATAGCAGAAACCAAAGTTGTGAGAATAGGAAGCCAAACACCCAATTTTTTGTAGGTGGATCATGAGATGTCAATCTTGCCATCATCCCTTGGTTCTCAGCCCCATGTGTTCTGGTTATGGAGGAAACAACACCATATGTTGATCACTAGTCCTTGTTCAGCATGTACAGCACATTCCTGCAAGATGGTACCCCAAACTGACAGGGTGTTTTTTGCTAGGCCATGTCATAAGTAGACCTATAAGAGGTGACTTCATTGTTTTATTAGGCTGATTTCTTCTAGGTGAGTTGGCATGTGGTAAAACCAGTGAAGCCAACAGGCTTCATTTCATTGCTGTACTTAGATCAGGGTAATGTGAGTTCCTTTGATAGAAGCAATGTTGTGTGAGATACAATAGTGCTGTGTAAGGTATTCAATAAATCTACAGATGGTAGGGCTAGCCGAGGTATGGTAAACAGGAAAACAAATCCAATTTGGAGTTACAATCTATTCAAGTTAAGAAACAAGTCACTGTCCAGTCTATAATAAAAGGGGTCCAAACCAATCAAACTGTCCCAAGATGGCTCGTTGGTACCCATAGGATATTATACCATATCAGGGACCCAGGGCTAATGGCTGCTGCTGGTAAATTGGGCATCCAAGAAGTAGTATGTTTTGGTGAGAAGAAATTCATATTATTGAGTCCATGCATATTTTCATCTCTGTCCCCAAGGCCACTTTGTATATGAGCTCATCCATCAAGCACCGGAGTGGTAGAGAGAGTCTGATTGATATCCACTGAATGGGCATTAAGCCCATCTGACTATTTAGCAGCTCTCCTACAAAGAGAACCTTTTGATAAATATTCATATGCAAGACATACATTCTAGATCAATTCACATACTTCTTTCTCAAATTTCCTTGCTCCAAACTTGCTCCAAACTTGCAATACTCCAAACTTGCTTCTTCCAAGACCCTGACCATCCAGCCGCAACATTAGTCTCTGCCATGATTCAGCATAGATCCTTGCTACAGCCTTTTTCTTCTTCCTGGCAAATAAGACAAGTTCCAGACGAAGGGGACAACCAAATACATGACTCAAAGTTCTGCCCAACAGGTTCCCTTCCCCGTTGTCCTACAGATCACCTGTGAGTGGGGCCGTAATGACACAGCAATCTACTTACTCCTAAGAGAGAATCATTCTGTTCTCTTTCTCTGATCATTGTTGTTTCTGGTTGAGCTGAAGCCATCTTGCTGCAGGTATAAGGATGAAGTCAATATGGAGTATGGCAGAAGAGAGGGACAGGAAGAACCTGAATACCTAATGATATCATTGAGCTACCCCAAAACTTGACCCATTGTGGAACTTCCAGTTTGTAAGATAATATATTTCCTAATAGTTTTAACCATTTTGAGTTAGTGTTTCTGTTTCTGACAGCCAAACGCTTTCTAACTAATATAGTTGTCCAATCCATCTCTCTTGTGCATGACTTGATCGCCTAGTCAAAATTAAATGCTCTCAGGAGAAAATACCCCAAATTTGAATAACACATAGGCATAGCTATATATATTCAGAGAGATCCATGTAAGTATTTGTTGAGTGAATGGATGGATAAAGGAATGAATGTTTTTAACAGCTATTGCTCTAAGCAAAATCCCCTGTTCCTTGCCTACTATCTGTATCAGTCAGGGTTTAGTTGCAGATAACTAGAATAGTTAGAATACATAACTAGATAGTTTAAGCAAAGAGGGATTTTCATATAGGGAATTTGTTGATTACAGAATTATAGGAAGGACTGGAGGAGGAGGCTTATCTGGGCTTCCAGGAAAAAATTTCTAGAACAACACAGTAGGAAACCAGTGACATATCAAGGCCAGGGCAATGGGAGCATTTCCTTGGTTGCAGGCAATGAGGAAGTGCACTGCCTCTAGAGAAGGAAGAAGAAGAAAACCAATTATAATTTGGTCTGCTTTGTTATTATCACCATGTCAACAATTCTAAATCATGTCAGTGGGAACACGCTCTTCTCTGAAAACAAAATCATTTGTTGAGCTATATTCTAAACAAATTGCTGAGACTACTGTTGAGTTGCAATAATAGATAAGCATACTTCAAATCAGCACATTTAAATTACATCTCTTTTCATCAACATTGTATTCTAAATGGAAGTTAATTTGGAAAACCTCCAGTTATACACGCAATCCCCAGGCTTCCTGGACCTAACTATACATTTCTGTTTTGAGAAAAAGTTCATCACAGTTTAAAATCCATTCAAGCTTCCTTCAGGTACAGTTACTTCATGTTTCTAACACTTGTGATGCTCAACATTCCTCTGTTTGAACAATAGCACAGTTATTGTAAATATGAAGACAAAAAAACCTCAGTTTCTTCAGTTCTGTCATTCTATGATACCACTTGAAGTTTTTATTTGTGTTTAAAATTTATGGTGAAACTGTGTGACAACTGTGAGGTATAGTGCAAATGTTATTATACTGTAATTCCATTGCTATTATTCATTAGCGCAATAGAACAATATGCAGATGTTTGTTCTCCTTTTTGTTAAAAATTATAATATAATTAAATATTAACCAGTTGCTTTCTTAAGACTTAATATTGTTTGCTTCTTTGTTTACTCTTATGCCTTTTTGCTGAGGTAAAATATACATACAAAATTTGTCACCTTTACATCTTTAAGTGTACAGTTTAGTGGTAATAAATATATTTATATTCTTTTTTTTTTCCTTTCATCTCCCTCTCCCCTCAACCTTCCTGACTTCTGGTAACCATTGTTCTAGTCTACCTCCATGAGATTCACTTATATAATTTCCACGAGTAAGAACATGTGATATGTGTCGCTTTTTACTTGGTTTATTTCACTTAACATAATGACTTCCAATTCCACTCATGTTGCTGCAAATGACCAGATTTCATCCTATTTTAGGGCTGAATAATATTCCTTCCTGTATATATGCCACATTTTCTTTATCCATTCATCCTTTGTTGGGAAATTAGGTTGATTCCATATTTTGGCTATTGTGAATACTGCTGCAATAAACATGGGAGTGCAGGTATCCTTTCAATATATTGATTTCCTTTTTATTGTTGGATACATACCAAGTAGTAGAATGGCTGGATCACATGGTATTCTATGTTTAGTTTTTTTGAGGAACCTCCATACTGTTAGTGGCTATACTAATTTACATTCCTACCAACAGTGTGTGAGGATTCACCTTTCTTCTCATCCTCATCAACATCTGCTAGGGCCTGTCTTTTTGACACAGGCCATTTTAAATGTGGTGAGACGATATCTCACTGTGGTTTTGATTTGCATTTCTCTAACGATTTGCATTTCTCTAATCATTGGTAATGTCGAACCTTTTTTTCATATACCTGTTGACCATTTGTATGTATTATTTTGAGAAATGTCTATATAGATCTTTTGCCTTTTTTTTTTTTTTTTTTTGAGACGGAGTTTCACTCTTGTTTCCCTGGCTGGAGTGCAATGGCACAATCTTGGCACACCGCAACCTCTGCCTCCCAGGTTCAAACGATTCTCCTGCCTCAGCCTCCCAAATAGCTGGGATTATAGGCATGTGCCACCACCCTTGCTAATTTTGTATTTTTAGTAGAGACGGGGTTTCTCAATGTTGGTCAGTCTGGTCTCGAACTCCCGACCTCAGGTGATCCGCCCGCCTCGGCCTCCCAAAGTGCTGGGATTACAGGCATGAGCCAGCGCGCCCGGCTCTTTTGCCCATTTTTAAATCAGATTATGGGTCTTTTTTGCTATTGAGTATTTTGAACTCCTTATGTATTCTGGTTTTCAATCCCTTGTTAGATGGATAGTTTGCACATATTTTCTTCCATCTGTGGATTGTCTCTTCAATTTGTTGATAGGTTTTCTTTACTGTGCAGAAGCTTTTTAATCAGATGTGATCCGATTTATCTACATTTACTTTGTTGCCTGTGCTTTTGAGGTCTTACACAAAAAAATATTTGCCCACACCAATGTCATGGGACATTTCCCCAGTGTTTCCTTCTAGTAGTTTCATCGTTCGAGGTCTTAGATTCAAGTCTTTTATCCACTTTGATTTTATTTTTGTGTAGGGTGAGAGATAGGGGTATAGATTCATTCTTCTGCATATAGTTATCCAGCCTGTACAGCACCACTTATTGAAAAGACTGTCCTTTCCCCACTGGATGTTCTTCATGCTTTTGTTGAAGATGAGTGGGCTATAAATGAATGGATTTATATCTGGGTTCTCTATTTTTTTTTATTGTACTTTAAGTTCTAGGGTACATATGCACAATGTGCACGTTTGTTACATATGTATATATGTGCTGTGTTGGTTTGCTGTACCCATTAACTCGTCATTTACATTAGGTATTTCTCCTAATGCTATCCCTCACCCAACCGCCCACTCCATGACAGGCCCCAGTGTATGATGTTCCCCACGCTGTGTCCAAGTGTTTTCATTGTTCAGATCCCACCTATGAGTGAGAACATGTGGTGTTTGGTTTTCTGTCCTTGTGATAGTTTGTTCTGAATGATGGTTTCCAGCTTCATCCATGTCCCTGCAAAGGACATGAACTCATCCTTTTTTTATGGCTGCATAGTATTCCATGGTGTATATGTTCCACATTTTCTTTATCCAGTCTATCACTGATGGACATTTGGGTTGGTTCCAAGTCTTTGCTATTGTGAATAGTGCTGCAATAAACATATGTGTGCATGTGTCTTTATAGTAGCATGATTTATAATCCTTTGGGTATATACCCAGTAATGGGATCGGGGGGTCAAATGGTGTTTCTAGTTCTAGATCCTTGAGGAATCACCACACTGTCTTCCACAATGGTTGAACTAGTTTACACTCCCACCAACAGTGTAAAAGCGTTCCTGTTTCTCCACATCCTCTCCAGCTCCTGTTGTTTCCTGACTTTTTAATGATCACCATTCTAACTGGTGTGAGATGGTATCTCATTGTGGTTTTGATTTGCATTTTTCTGATGAGCAGTGATGATGAGCATTTTTTCTTGTGTCTGTCGGCTGCATAAATGTCTTCTTTTGAAAAGTGTCTGTTCATATCCTTTGCCCACTTTTTGATGGGGTTGTTTGATTTTTTCTTGTAAATTTGTTTAAATTCTTTGTAGATTCTGGATATTAGCCCTTTGTCAGATGGGTAGATTGCAAAAATTTTCTCCCATTCTGTAGGTTGCCTGTTCACTCTGATGGTAGTTTCTTTTGCTGGGCAGAAGCTCTTTAGTTTAATTAGATCCCATTTGTCTATTTTGGCTTTTGTTGCCATTGCTTTTGGTGTTTTAGTCATGAAGTCCTTGCCCATGCGTTATGTCCTGAATGGTATTGCCTAAGTTTTCTTCTAGGGTTTTTATGGTTTTAGGTCTAACATTGAAGTCTTCAATACATCTTGAATTAATTTTGTATAAGGTGTAAGGAAGGGGTCCAGTTTCAGCTTCCTACATATGGCTAGCCAGTTTTCCCAGCAGCATTTATTAAGTAGGGAATCCTTTCCTCATTGCTTATTTTTGTCAGGTTCATCAAAGATCAGATGGTTGTAGATGTGGGTGTTATTTCTGAGGCCTCTGTTCTGTCCCATCAGTCTATATCTCTGATTGGGTACCAGTACCATGCTGTTTGGGTTGCTGTAGCCTTATAGTATAGTTTGAAGTCAGGAAGCGTGATGCCTCCAGCTTTGTCCTTTTGGGCTTAGGATTGTCTTGGCAATGCGGGCTGTTTTTTGGTTCCATATGAACTTTAAAGTAGTTTTTTTCCAATTCTGTGAAGAAAGTCATTGGTAGCTTGATGGGGATGGCATTGAATCTATAAATTACCTTGGGCAGTATGGCCATTTTCACTATACTGATTCCTCCTTTCCATGAGCATGGAATGTTCTTCCATTTGCCTCCTCTTTCATTTCATTGACCAGTGGTTTGTAGTTCTCCTTGAAGAGGTCCTTCACGTCCCTTGTAAGTTGGATTCCTAGGTATTTTATTCTCTTTGTAGCAATTGTGAATGCGAGTTCACTCATGATTTGGCTCTCTGTTTGTCTGTTATTGGTGTATAAGAATGCTTGTGATTTTTGCACATAGACTTTGTACCCTGAGAGCTTGCTGAAGTTGCTTATCAGTTTAAGGAGATTTTGGGCTGAGATGATGGGGTTTTCTAAATATATAATCATGTCATCTGCAAACAGGGACAATTTGACTTCCTCTTTTCCTAATTAAATACCCTTTATTTCCTTCTCCTGCCTGATTGCCCTGGCCAGAACTTCCAACACTATGTTGAATAGGAGTGGTGAGAGAGGGCATCCCTGTCTTGTGCCAGTTTTCAAAGGGAATGCTTCCAGTTTTTGCCCATTCAGTATGATACTGGCTGAGAGTTTGTCATAAATACTCTTATTATTTTGAGATACGTTCCATCAATAGCTAGTTTATTAAGAATTTTTAGCATGAAGGGCTGTTGAATTTTATCGAAGGCCTTTTCTGCATCTATTGAGATAATCACGTGGTTTTTGTCTTTGGTTCTCCTTATGTGATGGATTACGTTTATTGATTTTAGTGTGTTGAACCAGCCTTGCATCCCAGGGATGAAGCCAACTTGATCATGGTGGATAAGCTTTTTGATGTGCTGCTGGATTCGGTTTGCCAGTATTTTATTGAGGATTTTTGCATCGATGTTCATCAGGGATATTGGTCTAAAATTCTTCTTTTTTCTGTTGTGTCTCTGCCAGGCTTTGGTATCAGGATGATGCTGGCCTCATAAAATGAGTTAGGGAGGATTCCCTCTTTTTCTATTGATTGGAAGTTTCAGAAGGAATGGTACAAGCTCCTCTTTGTACCTCTGGTAGAATTCTGCTGTGAAACCATCTGATCCTGGACTTTTTTGGTTGGTAGGCTATTAATTATTGCCTCAATTTCAGAGCCTGTTATTGGTCTATTCAACAATTCAACTTCTTCCTGGTTTAGTCTTGGGGGGGGCGGTGTATGTGTCCAGGAATTTATCCATTTCTTCTAGATTTTCTAGTTTATTTGCGTAGAGGTGTTTATAGTATTCTCTGATGGTAGTTTGTATTTCTGTGGGATTGGTGGTGATATCCCCTTTATCATTTTTTATTGCATCTATTTGATTCTTCTCTCTTTTCTTCTTTATTAGCCTTGCTAGCGGTCTATCAATTTTGTTGATCTTTTCAAAAAAACAGCTCGTGGATTGATTTTTTAAAGGGTTTTTTGTGTCTCTATCTCCTTCAGTTCTGCTCTGATCCTGGTTATTTCTTTCCTTCTGCTAGCTTTTGAATTTGTTTGCTCTTGCTTCTCTAGTTATTTTAATTGTGATGTTAGGGTGTCGATTTTAGATATTTCCTGCTTTCTCCTGTGGGCATTTAGTGCTGTAAATTTCCCTCTACACACTACTTTAAATGTGTCCCAGAGATTCTGGTAAGTTGTGTCTTTGTTCTCATTGGTTTCAAAGAACATATTTCTGTCTTCATTTCGTTATTTACCCAGTATTCACTCGGGAGCAGGTTGTTCAGTTTCCATGTAGTTGTACGGTTTTGAGTGAATTTCTTAATCCTGAGTTCTAATTTGATTGCACTGTGGTCTGAGAGACAGTTTGTTATGATTTCTGTTCTTTTACATGTGCTGAGGAGTGCTTTACTTCCAACTATGTAGTCAATTTTGGAATAAGTGTGATGTGGTGCTGAGAAGAACGTATATTCTGTTGATTTGGGGTGGAGAGTTCTGTAGATGTCTATTAGGTCCGCTTGGTGCAGAGCCGAGTTCAAGTCCTGGATATCCTTGTTAACTTTCTGTCTCGTTGATCTGTCTAATGTTGACAGTGGGGTGTTAAAGTCTCCCATTATTATTGTGTGGGAGTCTAAGTCTCTTTGTAGGTCTCTAAGGACTTGCTTTATGAATCTGGGTGCTCCTTTATTGGGTGCATATATATTTAGGATAGTTAGCTCTTCTTGTTGAATTGATCCCTTACCATTATGTAACGGGCTTCTTGGTCTCTTTTGTTCATTGTTGGTTTAAAGTCTGTTTTATCAGAGACTAGGATTGCAACCCCTGCTTTTTTTTTTTCTTTCCATTTGTTTGGTAGATATTCCTCCATCCCTTTATTTTGAGCCTATGTGTGTCTCTGCACGTGAGATGGGTCTCCTGAATACAGCACACTGATGGGTCTTGACTCTTTATCCAATTTGCCAGTCTGTGTCTTTTAATTGGGGCATTTAACCCATTTACTTTTAAGGTTAATATTGTTATGTGTGAATTTGAACCTGTCATTATGATGTTAGCTGGTTATTTTGCCCGTTAATTGATGCTGTTTCTACCTAGCATCGATGGTCTTTACAATTTGGCAGGTTTTTGCAGTGGCTGGTACTGATTGTTCCTTTCCATGTTTAGTGCTTCCTTCAGGAGCTCTTGTAAGGCAGGCCTGGTGGTGACAAAATCTCTCAGCATTTGCTTGTCTGTAAAGGATTTTATTTCTCCTTCACTTATGAAGTTAATTTGGCTGGATATGAAATCTGGGTTGAAAATTCTTTTCTTTATGAATATTGAATATTGGCCCCCACTCTCTTCTGGCTTGTAGGGTTTCTGCTGAGACATCCGCTGTTAGTCTGATGGGCTCCCTTTTGTGGCTAACCTGACCTTTCTCTCTGGCTGCCCTTAGCATTTTTTCCTTCATTTCAGTTTTGGTGAATCTGACAATTATGTGTCTTGGGGTTGCTCTTCTCGAGGAGTATCTTTGTGGTGTTCTCTGTGTTTCCTGAATTTGATTGTTGGCCTGCCTTGCTAGGTTGGGGAAGTTCTCCTGGATAATATCCTGAAGAGTGTTTTCCAACTTGGTTCCGTTCTCCCCATCACTTTCAGGTACATCAATCAAATGTAGATTTGGTCTTTTCACATAGTCCCATATATCTTGGAGGCTTTGTTTGTTTCTTTTTACTCTTTTTTCTCTAAACTTCTCTTCTTGCTTCATTTCATTCATTTGATCTTCAGACACTGATACCCTTTCTTCCACTTGATCAAATCGGTTACTGAAGCTTGTGCATGCGTCACGTAGTTCTCATGCCATGGTTTTCCGCTCCATCGGGTCATTTAAGGTCTTCTCTACACTGTTTATTCTAGTTAGCCATTTGTCTAATCTTTTTTCAAAGTTTTTAGCTTCCTTGTGATGGGTTCGAACATCCTCCTTTAGCTTGGAGAAGTTTGTTATTACCAACTTTCTGAAGCCTGCTTCTGTCAACTCGTCAAAGTCATTCTCCGTCCTGCTTTGTTCCATTGCTGGTGAGGAGCTGTGATCCTTTGGAGGAGAAGGGGCACTCTGGTTTTTGGAATTTTCATCTTTTCTGCTCTGGTTTCTCCCCATCTTTGTGGTTTTATCTACCTTTGGTCTTTTATAATGGTGACCTACAGATGGGGTTTTGGTGTGGATGTCCTTTTTGTTGATGTTGATGCTATTCCTTTCTGTTTGTTAGTTTTCCTTCTAACAGTCAGGTCCCTCAGCTGCAGGTCTGTTGGAGTTTGCTGGAGGTCCACTCCAGACCTGTTTGCCTGGGTATCACCAGTGGAGGCTGCAGAACAGCAAATATTGCAGAACAGCAAATATTGCTGCCTGATCCTTCCTCTGGAAGCTTTGTCTCAGAGGGGTACCCAGCTGTATGAGATGTCAGTCGGCCCCTACTGGGAGGTGTCTCCCAGTTAGGCTATACAGGGGTCAGGTACCCACTTGAGGGGCAGTCTGTCCGTTCTCAGAGCTCAAACACCGTGCTGGGAGAACCACTACTCTCTTCAGAGCTGTCAGACAGGGACGTTTAAGTCTGCAGAGGTTTCTGCTGCCTTTTGTTCAGCTATGCCCTGCCCCCAGAGGTGGAGTCTACAGAGGCAGGTGGGCCTCGTTGAGCTGCGGTGGGCTCCACCCAGTTCGAGCTTCCTGAGCTTTGTTTACCTACTCAAGCCTCAGCAATGGTGGATTCCCCTCTATATCTGGGTTCTCTATTATGCTCCATTGGTCTATGTGTCTGTTTTTATGCTAGTACCATGCTGTCTTGGTTATTATAACTTTGTAGTAAATTTTGAAGTCCAATAATGTAATGCCTTCAGCTTTGTTCTTTTTACTCAGGATTGCTTTAGCTATTTGAGTCTTTTGTGTTTCCACATAATTTTTAGGAATTTTTTTCCTATTTCTATGGAGAATATCATTGGTATTTTGATAAGGATTGCATTGAATCTGTAAGTTGCTTTGGGAGGGTACTGTAATTTTAATAATATTGTGATTCATAAGCATAGCATATCTTTCCATTCTTTTGTGTCATTTCAGTTTCTTTACCAGATTATATATTTTTAAATCAAATATCTTTATTTTTATTATTTTTTTGTTATAATTTTAACTTTTAATTTAGATTCAGGGGATACAAGTGCAGATTTGTTACATGGGTATATTGCATGATGCTGAGATTAGGGTTACGAGAGATCCAGTCACCCATGTAGTCAGTATAGTATCCAATAGGTAGTTTTTCAGCCCTTTCCCCTTTCCCTCTACCCACCGCCAGTAGTCCCCAGTGTTTATTGTTCACATCTTTATGTCCATGTGTACCCAATGTTTAGCTCCCACTTATAACTGAGAACATGCAGTATTTGGTTTTCTGTTCCTGTGTTAATTTGCCTAGGATAATGGCCTTCAGTGGCATCCATGTTGCTGCAAAGGACATGAATTCATTCCTTTTTGTGGCTGCATAGTATTCCATGATTTTCTTTATCCAATCCAATATTGATGGGCGCCTAGATTGATTGCATGTCTTTGCTATTGCGAATAGTGCTGTGATGAACATATGAGTACATGTGTGTTTTTGGTAGAATTATTTATATTCCTTTGGTTATATACCCAGTAATGGGATTGCTGGGTCTAATGGTAGTTTTACTTTTAGTTCTCTGAGAAATCTCCAAACTACTTTCCACAGTGGCTGAACTACTTTACATGCCCACCAACAGTGTATAAGTATTCCCTTTTCTCCACAGCCCCGCCAGCATCTGTTAATTTTTGACATTTTAAATTAGAGCAGTTCTGACTGGTGTGACATGGTATCTCACAGTGGGTTTGACTTGCATTTCTCTGATGATTAGTGATGTTGAGCAGTTTTTCATATGTTTCTTGGCCACTTATATGCCTTCTTTTGGGAAGTATCTGTTCATGTACTTTGCCTGGGGATCAGTAAGTCATTTCTGGAACAGTTGGTTCTAGGAAAACCGTAGTTTGCTGAGATCTGGGGATTAGGAACCTGCTGCCAGAACTATTGGCTCCCGACCCTCACCAGCAAAATGAATGTCTTGCATGCCACTTCCTTCCCATTTGGCTCAGTTTGGAAATCACACATGATGTAATTACAACTGATTGGCTGTACCAAAATCACATCCAAAATCCTGTCTGCATAGGAATCTGGAAAATGTGGCTTTTTAGCTTTCTAGCTTCTGCGGTATAGGAAGACATACCTGAAGAGGTTTGGGTGGATGTTGGGCAAGCCACTACCATCTTTAATAGCCTCACATGCACCCAGTTCATGCCCTGAACTACTACCACTCAAGCACACTCCACCTCTTACACACTCTATCAGCTTCTTCCACTGTGCCCTTTAAAATCTCCATCCTAATATAAAGAAGCTGCTCTAAATCTTCACATTTTTTTCTTTTCCTCTGCTTTCCTACCCCTTGAATTAGCTTCCAACTGATTAATCCTCCCTGGGTTAACCACTGTGCTGGAAACTCCCTTCAATGGATACTGCTTCTCCTTCTACTTCCAGGGGAAAAGAAGAGGTCAGTAAATTTCTTAGACCTCTTTGCTACCCCAAACCATGGTTTCAATGCTTGTGGTCAATTTCCTCTCTCTTGGAGCCCACATTATCTGATTATACCACCTGCTCCAATTTTTGCATCTCAAGGGCCTACTAAATTTTAAAAAGTCTATATTTCTTACTTCTATACTTTTGCACCTGAATCTGCAACTTCCTTTCCTTCACAACACCCTTGGCCTTTATTCTTAGAATGAAATTGGCTACATGGTTATTTTGGCTTCCACTTTTCAAATTTGAAAGCCACTAAAGTATTTATCCTTCTCAAACACTTTGCAGCATTTGAAACAACTAACTTCCCTCTTTTTCTCAGGGAATCTATGTGTCCTTTCTGGTCTGTAAGTTCTACAAGAGAAGAGAACTAGTCTGCCTCATTTGTTGCTGTGTTTTCAGTGCCTAAATATTAAATAGGTCATAGTATTTCCCCAATAAATATATTTTAATTGACAGACAAAGCTCAATTCTCACATTCTCCTGATCCTCATCCTGTTGGATAAATGTAAGCGTTCCCTGACATTTGGTCCTGCTGCCATCTAATATTTGTATTCTTTAGTCACTCCACAACCAGGCGTGATATATTTATTTCCATTTGTTTAGAGATCGCCTCTATATCAGTGACACTATAATATTCATATATCTAGCCTTGCCCCTTTCCTGAGCTCCAAGATGGAGATCAACTAAGCAAGCTCAATGTTCTTACTTCTAGAAGAACCAGACGGACTAAGTCAGAGGCCCTTGGCTCTAGGACCTCCAGTCTAGTGTGGGAAACAGGTATGTAAAATACAATTGTAGTCCAATGTGATGAATGCTCTTAAAAACAAAGTTTTGAACACAGTGATGCAGGAACACTATGGAGGATGCAATTAATTCAGCCTGGAATCGTCAGTGAAAACTACTGAGAAGTGACATTTAATTTGGGCTTTGAAGATTGAGTAGATAATGTCCAGGCGAACAAGAAGGGAAAGGTGTTTTTCATGGAGGAGGCTGAAGACAGACTTAGAAAAATGAAAGGGTATGATAGATATGGTACATCTGGGAAACACAGATAAATATTTTGCCATGCCTAAAGTATGTCCAAACTTGACCTTCAAATATTTTCCTCTCAAGCTAATATCTCCTTCTGACTTCCTACCCTTCATCTGGTCTCTTCCACTTAAGACTTCTGGGTCATTTTGGACTTTTTATTGCTCATATCCAATTAGACGTCTGTTGATTTTGCTTCAAAATACTTCTCAAGCCCATTCCTCCTTTCTATTCCTATATCAACAGTCCTGGATCAGACCCTTATTATTTCTTCCCTTGGCTAGAAAATGGTCCCTAAATAACCTCCCAACCAATAGGGTCTCATAGTTCGAATACTACCCTGCTCATTGCAGTTAAATGATTCTTCCTACTTGAATGCCTTTGCTGGCTCCCTGAAGTCTACAAGAAAAATGATGGCAATAAATCTGCTCCCTCCAAGAAGCAGTCGCTCTCTCTTTGGTGTTTTCAGTTGTTTGTCTCCTGGCTTTCTTACATATCTGGCTGCGTTTTTCATTTGCTTTAATGAATATTCCTCTTCTACTTGGCATCTAAGTGTTGGGTTTACTCAGGGCTTTCTTTTAGGTCTTCTTCTCTTTCCTTCCTCACTGTACACTATCTTGCCAAGTGATCCCATGCACTCCCACTGCTAACTTGCCATGATATCCTGATGACTTACAAAACTACATCTTACATTTATCTCTCTTCTGACCCCCACTTAAGTATCTTTGCTTGGATAACTTGAAAACACTTAAAACTACTCATATCCAAAATTGAATGGTTATCCACCACTAACCTGCACTTTCTTCACCTTTCTCTAACCTAATCGGCAGTGTTATCTTTTATCCAGTTGCTCAAGTCAAAAATCGGAGTTACCTTTGATTCTTCCACATTCCTCAATCTCCATTCATTCAATCAGCAAAACCTCTCTATTCTACCTCCTAAACTACCTGCAATGGTTAGTTTTATATGTCACCTTGGCTGGGCTATAGTGCCAAGTTATTCAAACATTAGACTAGGTGTTACTTGAAGGTATTTTGTAGATGAAGTTAAATCTACCATCAACTGACTCTTTTTTTTTTTTTTTTTTTTTTGAGACGGAGTCTCGCTCTGTCGCCCAGGCCGGACTGCGGACTGCAGTGGCGCAATCTCGGCTCACTGCAAGCTCCGCTTCCCGGGTTCACGCCATTCTCCTGCCTCAGCCTCCCGAGTAGCTGGGACTACAGGCGCCCGCCACCGCGCCCGGCTAATTTTTTGTATTTTTTTTTTTTTTAGTAGAGACGGGGTTTCACCTTGTTAGCCAGGATGGTCTCGATCTCCTGACCTCATGATCCACCCGCCTCGGCCTCCCAAAGTGCTGGGATTACAGGCGTGAGCCACCGCACCCGGCCTCAACTGACTCTTTTTAACTTTTCAGTTTGGGGTACATGTGCAGGTTTGTTATATAAGTAAACTATAGATGCTGGACATTAGACTTTTGTGAGATACGTGGTTTGCAAAAAAATTTTCCCATTCTGTTGATTGTCTGTTTATTCTGTGGATAGTTTCTTTTGCTCTGCAGAAGGTCTTTATTTTAATTAGATCCCATTTGTCAATTTTTGCTTTTGTTGTGATTGCTTTTGGCATCTTGGTCATGAGATTTTTGCCAGTTCCTATGTCCAGAATGGTATTTCCTACATTGTCATCCAGGGTGTTTACAGTTTGGGGTTTTACATTAAGTCTTTAATCCATCTTGTGTCAATTTTTGTATATGGTTTAATGAATGGGTCTGGTTTAAATTGACTTCAATTTAAGGATATTACTGTTGATAATTTGGGTTGACCTTATCCAATTAGTTGAAAATCTTGGGTCTCCTTGAAGAAAAAGAAATTCTGCCTGAAGACTCCAGCAACAACTCCTATCTAAGTTTCCAGCATGCCAGCTTACCCTATGAATTTTGAACTTGCCAGCTCCCACAATCGCATAAGCTGATTCCTTAAATACATCTCTAATCTAATATGTATATAATATATATTTTATATATGATATACTTTATATATTATATGCTTTATATATGATATATTATATATCATATAGTGTATATATATATGTGTATGTGTGTATATATATATATATATATCTATATCTATATACACACACACACACACACACAAGTACTGGGTTTGTTTCTGTAGGGAACCCTGACTGATACACTTGATACACTATGTCTCTAATTAATTCAGGGCTCTGCACTCTCTCCTCCTGTGGTCTTGCTCATTCCAATCCATTCACCACACTGTAACTCTTGTGTGCTTGTAAAATTGTAAACCTGATTATGTCACTCTCTTGCTTAATATCCATCAACGGCTGGTGATTGCCCCAACAATCCAAATTCCTTTCCCTGGTTTATGAGCACTCACCTTCTCTGTACCTTGCTTACCACCCTAGCCTCAGCTCTTGCCCCCTCTCCCTCATTCATATGTTATGACCATACCAAACTTCCCCAGACTCCTGATGCTGTCTCCTGCCTTTGTACATGCTTTCTTCTTTTCACATAGCTAGCTCCTCTTCCTCCTTCAGGCCTCAACTTAAATATCATCCTCCGACCAGGTTCAATCCCCATCTTATACTTTCCAATAAGGTTTGGTTACAATATCATTAATCCTATAGTGCTTGAATATGAAAAAATAATTCAGTTAGTTTAAATGAAGAGAGAAAGATATGCTCAATATTTACTGCCTCCTCTATGAACTGTTTGGGAGCTTTTCTGAGTCCGTATGTCTTTAAGTGGCCATACATCTGCCTGGTGGTTTTTCTTTGTTTATACTGAGTTGGGATTCCTCTGTTAAGCTAAGTTGTTGCCAAACCTTGCACCCAATTTTGTCATCCCATCGACAAGGTGGGAGAGGTGAAGAGTGCCCATTTTCCCTTATCTGGAGATTGGCATGGGACATCAACGTGTTTAGAATAGTCCCTGATTCTTCGGGGTTTCCAAGTGTGGCTAAAGCTGATGAAACTCTAAAATCTCAGTGCCTTAAAGCAGCAAAGGTTTGTTGCTTGCGCATGATACATGCCCAACACAGGTTGGCAGGGACACTGCTGATCATCCCCAAGACCTTTGCTGACAGAGATATCACCATCTTATGATGCTGCCATCCCAACTTGAACTTCCAAATTGTTGTATCAGGGGAAGAGTATGTAGAGAATCAAACCATACTGCCTCTTCAATGGCTCCAGTCAGAAAGGACATGTATCCTTTCCACTTCCACTTTGTTATCCAAAGGAAGGTACAGGGCCATGTTCACTCAGGCCCTGTTCAGGGAAGCATGTACCTGGAAGAAAAGGAGAACCAGGAAATTTGGGGAGCCCTAGAAATGTCTAATACCAGTATTATTACTAATTGCTATCCGTTATTGAACACAGGCCATGTACTGAGCATTGTGCTAAGCACTTTACATTAATCCTCACAGGAACTCTGAGGTAAACACTAGTATCTCCATTTTGGAAAGGAAACAGGTTCAGAGAGGTTTCATGAGTTGCTCAAAGCAACCATTGATATTTAAGCTGGGATCTGAACCTGTGTCAACAGACTGGCAGTCAATGCTCTCCACACACCTGGAAGGTGAGTCTGGCCCTTCTATTACATATCCTATGCTACATTACTGCATATCCTATGCATACACTATAGTACGCAATAACCTTCTGGAACTCTGTGCTTATACAGAGTTTTGTATGATGCCCTTGGCCTGGCAGAAGTGAGAGATGCATATTTTGGGCAAACTTCTGTTCACATCTCTCGATCCAATTTAAATCCTAAGCCCTCCGTGAAACCCCTCCTGACATCCCCCCACAGAATTTACTGCTCTAGCTCAGCTGCTCTCAGCTCAAGTCCAGATCAGGGTACTCATCACATGGTTTTATTATTATCTGTTAACCTTGTTATTTTTCCTACTACACTGTGTCTCCTTGAAGAAGGAGGCTGTGTCACATTTCCTTCTGTATTCACAGGACACAGAGTGAAATATAGCTTAAGTACAGCCAGCATTGATGACACATACATGCCAGGCATGAGCCTAAGTGCTTCACATATGCTCACTAATTTCACCCTCATATCACCTCTATGGAGTAGGGGCTATTATAAGCATCGTCCGTTTTACTCATGAGAAAATTTCATTTGTAGAATGCTTAAATAACTTGCCCAAAGTTTCATAGGTAGCAAATTGCTGTGCTGGGGTTAGAACCCAGGTAGTTTAACTCCAGAGCCTAAGCATGCTTTGTTGCTCTGCTACTGCTTACGCCTTCTTTCAGCCAATAGCTCAGCCTTTTCCTTCTAAACACTTTAGTGTGTATTTCCTAAAAACAAGAACATTCTCTTACATAACCACAGTACAATCTTTGAAATTAGTAAGTCAGCTTTGTCGCATTGTGTAATCTGCAGACTTTATTCATATTTAGCCAATCATTCCAATAATGTCATTTATGACAAAAGACAACATTTTCTGGTTCAAAGTCCAATCCAGGATCATGTTACATTTAATTACCATGTCTTTTTAGTATCCTTTGGTCTGAAATACTTTCCCAGTATTTCTTTGTCTTTTATGACTTCAATAATTATGAAGAGTGCAAGCAGTTTATTTTGTAAAACGTTCATCTATTTGGACTTGTCTGATGTTTTCATATGATTAATTTCAGCTTATTCATTTTTTAGCAGGAACACTACAGAAGTGAGGTTGTATCCTTCTCAGTGCATCATATGAGGAGGCACATTATATCTATTTGTCTCTGTAATTGTTCTTTTATTTTATGTTAATTTTTGTCTCCCAGTGTATTTTTCTTCTGTATCCTCATCATCAAACATGCTGCCTGACTCATGGTATACAGTGAATAAACATCAGTTGAATGAATAAATCTATTTCTCCAAAAGAAATTGTAAATCATAACCCTAGCTTCTTCCCTTCCCCTTTCTCCCCACATAATAATCAGCAAGTCTCACTGATCCCATCTCCTAAATGTCATAAGAATCCCATGATTCTTTTCCATTCTCACTACCTTAGCATTGGCTCATAATTTCAACAGCCTGATCTTTCTGCCTCTAGTTTTGCCCATTTAGTCTGTCTTTGAAAGGTGAGTGGAAGAATACACTATTGTGTTATGTAGAATGGGCATAAGAATAGGTTTAATTGGGGGTAACGTGCAAGCCAAAGTGTTAGTAAGACGAAATACATGGGCTCCTGTTCTTCTGGGAGATGTGCCTGCCCACTGGGACTAAACATAAATTGGATTTTTCAGTGGGGTTTCTGGAGTATGTGACTATGCCAAGGAAATTTTGTAAAATAAGGAAGGTCCTAAAAGTACAAAGTTTAAAATAAAAATCTGTAGAGTTCCCTGAGACCTCTAATCATGGAGCCCAGGCCAAACTATGAGAAAAAGATCCAAGGCTTTGATTGGGAGTGTTTTGGAGCCATATGGCTAACTCCACCAGTTGCTGAGTGATAGCTCTACTTGTATTGAAGTATTCATCCAGAATCGGGTTGACCACAATGCACATTGCGTAGTTAGTAAATAATCCAAAGTTATGCAGTTGTCTAACACAATCTGAGTTAGGGAGTCAACATCTTTGATAGTGAGATCCCCAGCTGTCTCATCGGTAATCTCCCCTAGTGAGCCTTACAAACACCTCCTGATGAGAGAAAAACCCATGTAAAATAACAATAAACTGTGTCCATAATGCTCCCAAGGAGAGCCTACTGATGGTGCCAGAAGCTGAGGATATAGTCTGTGCCCACTGGTTCTTTGTTTTTTGAAGAGTTGTATGACTACCCTCAGGAAGTGGACGACTCTTTGAAGGGAAAGGCAGGGGAGGCAAAGGAAGCTATCTTAACTGCACAGAAAAACTAATCCTGAAAGCGGGCGAGGGGTACACAAATGCTACTTTGAGTTGGGTCCAAGATGATACTCTGCATTCGTTTGGTATGGACATCACAGGGGATAGACACATGAGTGCAGAAGGCCCAGGAAAATGGTGGCTGAGGCCCCTTGCCTATAGGAGCAATACTTGAGGCATCATTTGATAGTGGGATGCTAATATGATCCCCCATAGCCAAATCCAGTTGGGAGTGACATATATAGCTTTGTGATAATTGGCACTAGAGGTCACTGCCTCAGATGGGTATAGTCTGTCCCTATCTGGAATAGGAAAACAGAGAGGTTTTTTGCCCCTTGATCCTCTACATGCTTCTCAGGGTTGAATTCGCCCGAGCCCAACCAGTCAGGGTCTGTCAGCTACCCTCAGGAAAGAACCAGACTTTCTTTTATTTCCTAGAATGAAAATCTCTGCAGAGACCATGGGGATAACAATCCCTTTATCAAAGACAACCTCTTGAGATCCAGGAAGATTTTTACAGCACAGAGGTGACTAATGATATGAGCATGAGAACCACAGCAGTGTTCTCAAATTGCAAAGGAGGCATGTGGCAACCCCAGATTCAGAGTTGTCTGGGGATGTGGGGGGCAGGGGAAAGGTCACCAGATGCCATTTCAATGAAAAAAGAAAAAAGAAAAGAGCCTCTAAATTTATGTTCATCCACATTTCTGTGATCCATGCAGTACAATCCTCCCAGCTATTCATCATGGTTAATGTGGGACCAAAAAAGGAATTTGGCCGGGTGTGGTGGCTTATGCCTGTAATTCTAGCACTTTGGGAGGCCAAGGTGGAGAATCACTTAAGCTCAGGAGTTCAAGACCAGCCTGAGCAACAGAGTGAGACCTCATTTCTAAAACCAAACAAAAAAGAGGGAAATTATTATTACATAATGTGGTGGCCACCAAAGTGTACCACTTCAATCTCCTATTGTGGAGAGCATAATTGACTGACAGCCCCAGATGCTACCCTTCTGGATCCACCACTGTGTATGCACCAAGGTTGTGCTTCCTTCAGGCTACTTTCAGCCAATAATTAGCCACTAATTGAGCACAGTGGGGGTACTAATGCAAATACAGAACCATTCTTGCAAGTAGAACTTTTTTTAACAGATGACTTCAGATCAAGCACTCCTCATCAACCTGGTTGAAACGTACTTGAAACTGCACTATAGTTGAGGATCTCCTTACTCAGTCCTTCTTTCTTCCCTATCCTTCATCAATGTCAGATCTGTATCATGGTCTAAACTCTCTCTTGATGTTCTCTGGCTCCCTCCCCTTTAATCTGTCATGGACTCTCACCCCAAAATATCTTGCACATTTAATTCTGTCTTGACATCTGCTTCTCAGAGGACCTGAACTAACACATGGAACATGGCAGTGTATACAGCTAATGAGAATTGTGCTAGTCAGCCTTACAGAATTTGTTCTTAAAGTGGCCAGTGTGATTGTTCCTTAAGCTGGCCATTCGAGCACTTTATTTCACCTGCTGAATGAGAGTGGAAAGAAGCATAGGAGTGCCAGTGAATTCCATGCTGACAGACTCATTGGCCCATTGTTGTTTGACACTGGCCATAAATGAGTTGTCATATTGTATCATGTGAGAACATGTCAACACATGACAAAGGTAGTAAAGTCAGTCACACACTTTAATCTATGTGTGCTATCTGACTGGGGCAGGTGGAGTGCAACCCCATATCTAGAGTGTGTCTAAAGCAGTCAGGACCCACTATACGGACCTACATAGGGGCAGGGGGACCTATAAAGTAAATCTGCCAGTATGAGTTAGTTCTGACTTCTGTATGACAGCCCTTCATGATGGTTTTGTTTCTGTGGTGGGTCTAAATCTGGATCTAGTAGGTCACCATAAATAGGATGGCTCAGAGGCTCAGTTGACTTTCTCATTCCAAATGTTTTGCTTTTCTCAGGATGTGGCCTTTTTTAAGAGACAAATAAATATGTGACTTATTAATTGAGCCTGTGGATGAGGTGCATCTCTTTCCATAAGGAGCAGCACATACGTATGACTTTAATGGTCTCATCCTGGGTGGTCCAACATCCTGACCTAAGAGCAAGGCCGGTAGCGCAGCCCATGTCTGTGTAAAGACATTTTCATTCAAGAAGCAGAATGTTTTATTGCTCAAAAGCACCACTTGAAGTACTTCTATTAATTGTGCAGAGCAGCCAGTGCCATGGGACATCAACACTTATCATCATTATAACCAATGGCTTAGTTTCCATTGAAATTGATGCCATCATTGAGCCAGTTGCTCAGGCAAAGCAGGAGTGAAACTTTCTCCGTACCTACTGCATAGGCAACCACTTATCCTTGCAGTGGGCTTGACTCTCAATTGGATGTACTATTTCCATTTCACATTTCTGTGGCTTGTCACACACTGCCAATTATTAAATTATTGTCTCTCAGTTCCAAACTATCCTTCTATAATCTGCTCTGTGATGCTGGGGCTGAGACTCTGCACATCACATTTCTCCTTCACCAGCTGCTTCCTGTTAGGTTCTGACAACAAGGGGCTCTAGAAGGAGACTTGAAGATGTTAGTTCTTCACTCTGGTAGAAACAGTTTGTTCCAGTAGCAGCACTTGAATCCAGTTGCCAGATTTTTCCTTCCACACTCTCTGAGCCAGCATCGTCATGCCTCCTCAGACACCAGCATCAGTCAGTTGGCTGGCACCCTCTCCTCAGTGGTCTAAGTCCAAGCCCCATGAGGTTCTGCCTCCAAGATACCAGTACTAACTAAGCAGTTTCCCTTTCCTAAAGGTCTGGAGTTTTAATTCCATGGGCCCCTCCTTTGAGCTTTGGGTTCTCATCATACTAGCTTCATCCCTTCATTCCACCAGGCCTCAGGATGGTAGATGCTTCCTGCAGATCCTACCTCTATTACCTTAATGTTCTTGTTCTGCATTTTCAGCCCTTTAATATCTGTTTAACCAATCCGTACATCAAACTCTCTGTTAAAATTAGTGGTGTGATTTCTGTTTTCCTCACTGGTGGATACACTCACTGATACACTAATCTTATGAAATTTGGTTCAGTGAACCCATTGTAGAGTGGGGATGTTAGATCTGACAATCACTTCCCTTTAGTGAGACAACAGTCCCTGCCAGAGATTTATAATGGACAAATAATTGTCGTTTAAAAGGCACGTACCATTCAGCAGTGGAGAGATTTCCCACCCCAGTATTGGCAGAGTCTTGTTGCCAGGTGTATCAGATGTAAGACCTGTCATAGATACATAAAACTCCATGGGAATCAGGTTATATTTTATTGTATTGCTTCTGAGGCTTCTTGCTGTAGGGGTCTCCACTTAAATTTGGCTACCAGTCTGGTGACTAGGTACAGATGCTTGAATGACATTTTGAAATGTGAGATGTGCTGCCTCTAATACCCAAAGAGGCCGAACAGATCATAGGCTTTTTCTTTTTCTTTTTTTTTTTTTTTGGTAGTGTCTGTAAGGCCAATAGACTTTCCTTATTATGCTATGGAATGTCTCCTCAGGCTGTTGCTAATACAGCCCCCAAGATATGTACTTGGGTGGCCTGGCTCTGGCATCTATCCTCATTCAAGGGCCAGGCCACCTGTGGACACTTGTGCTTAGATTAGAGAGCATGCATTACAGTGAGGACAGTTTCCTCTGTGAGGGGCACTACCAAAATGTCATCAATATAATGGAATGGGCTTGCCCAACCCATTACTGATAAATTGCACTTATTTGCTGGAGGAGTGTGAAATTCCCACAACAAACCAGAAATTAATGTTCTGTCAGGTGAAAGCAAAATATTTCTTCTGTTTCTGGAGAAATTTGGAGAACATTAGTAGTATCTAGAGTAATTCTGTCCAATTGAAATATAATGTGAGCCACATATGCAATTTTAACTTATCTAGTGGTCATTATTAAAAAGGGTAAAAAAGAGATAGGTATAATGAATTTTCATGGCATATTTTAGTTAACCCAAGAGATTTAAAATATTTATATTTCAACAGCTAAATATAAAAAGGAGACATTTTTCATTCATCTTTTCAAACCAAGTCTTCAAAATCTCGTGTATTCTACACATTCAGCACGTCTTAATTCAGACCAGCACATTTCAAGTACTCAACAGCCGTATATGGCTTAGTGGCTTAAGAACTGGACAGCGTAGCTCTAGGACATACCACGTTGCCAGTAATGGCTGCAATCAGTTCAGTCATCTGTTGGTGTATCAGGCACTGTGAGTGCCATGGTGGCCACTGTTAAAATCACAATGATCCATAATGATCTGTAATCTGGGGCCAAAGACACTGGATTTGCTCACTGGCCTAACAGGGTTGTGGAATTGGAAGGTAGTGTAGCCTACCATTCCCTCCTGGCAATGGCAGTAAATCTTGTATGAGGGGAATGTTTTCTTTCTCATCTTTGGTATGTGCCAGCTTCAACTGCACAATTCCGACAGGCTTTGGAAGTGCAGGGGGTTCTGCAAACTCAATAAGACTGATTTATAGTATTCACTAAGAGACATTGCCATGTTTGCATCCATTCAGATGTTCTGCTTTGCTGGGCTGAGGGGACTCAGCATGTCCATATCAACTGTGGAGTCTGACAAAGGGATGGTGAGTGAGCATGGTCTTATGAAAGCAGCCAACAGCATCTGCAGTAATTATGCTGAGTCTCCTGGTTCTAAGTAAAACCAAACCCAACTCCAGCCAGGGAAATTTACTGTGGACTTGATCAGGTCCAAGAATAACAGCTTCTTGGGCTCCTGTGTTTTATTAAGTCTAGGTCTGTTAAGTCCTTCCCCTATCTATGTTCCAGGCTACATGGATTAGGACATGAAGTTAGCATCTCCTTGAAGAGGGCAGAGGAACTGGCCCTGGGCCAAGCTTGCTTTTGGTTTAAATGGACTTGAAGAGCTCCCCAGCAATCGGCCTAGAAAATCAATCTCTCAGGTGGCACAGAGGCCTCTGGGGGTAGGGAGTGTCTGAGAGTCTTGTTTCAGCAGTGTTAAGATGTGGCCAACTGCTTAGCTTCCTCTAAACCCTTCTACAAGGACGCAGGAGGCATTGGAGCTTTGCTGGCCAAGCAGTGGGGAAAGCTAACTGCCTCCATCTCCAAAGGGAACCCTCCCATCCAGAACCTCCTTGCATCAGCTCTCCATAGGGGGGTTCTTAATGCCTACTCTAATATCAGTGTTGTTTCCTGCATCCTTCTCTCTGCAAGCTCCTTAGAGTGATTCTACCTTTCCTATCTATCTCCTTAGCTAGTCATCACTTTGTTGCAGACCAAGAGTCATGATGTACTGCCTGTGCAAGCCTAGGAAAAGTCTAGAGTTGATGCTCTTCCCTTGACTTTTCATTTTTGCTGAGACATATTCTTTCCAGGGCCCCTTATCTCATTACCCCCACTTTGGGTGGGGCATATATCAGCTCCAAAGGATTATTTCATCCTTTACACTCTGGCAGAAGGAGCAAAGTTAGGGATGTCTCCGTATAAGAAACCATCAACTTTTCCAGCATTCTCTGAATTAAGGTCATTTGGTTACTACTTATCCTAGATGCCTAGGATTTTCATGCAAGTATGCAAAAATGCCAAGTTGTCTCAAAACAGCTTTAACCTCAGTAGAATGGTTCACTTGGCACTCAGTTTCTCAGGAAGTCTCCTCTTGGTGGTTATGTGAATCTGATTGCCCTGAACATCCAATTCAAGAACAAGGCAGGTCCATTTGCTCCCTCCCCATTGGTCAGCCTAGCAAATTCATCTGGCAGAAGAGAATCCCGTGATAAACCCAAAGTGCTTGCCATTCAGCTTCACTACTTTGTAGGTGTAGCCTCGTCATCATATAAACAATTAAAGCCTCAGGTTACTCTTGTGACCATTGCTGGGAGTCCAATTCCCTGTTAGTGTCTTTGAAATCCCACAGGATATACCTCAATTCCTACCAAAGGCCCCTGGGTGGCACACTGCACAATGACAAGTCTCAAATCTAAAAGTTGTGGCTGTGTGCAGTGGCTCAGGCCTGTAATCCCAGCACTTTGGGAGGCCAAGGCAGACAGATCACCTGAGGTTAGGAGTTTAAGACCAGCCTGGCCAACATGGCGAAACTGCATCTCTACAAAAAAATACAAAAATTAGTTGGGCATGGTGACAGGTGCCTGTAGTCCCAGCTACTAGGGAGGCTGAGGCACAGGAATCGCTTGAACCTGGGAGGCGGAGGCCACAGTGAGCTGAGATCATGCCACTGCACTCCAGCCTGGGTGACAGAGACCCTGTCTCAAAAAAAAAAAAAAACCAAAACAAACAAAAAAACGTTTAGACTGCATCAACTATTCTAATGGCACTTAGGTGCTGAGGGTTTTCTCCCAACTTCTTTTTCCTTAGGTCTCACAGAGGCTGCCAGACTTGGAGTGCCAAAGGATTTAATTGTCTCAATCTCCCTTACACAAACTTCCCAGGACCTCTGTGGCACATGAACACCAATAAGCACCACACTAGCATGCTTTGCAGATGTTAGCTTGGCTGGGTTTCCCATCACCAGCCCCAGCAGGGATGCTGTCCATCCCTAGTATAGCTTAGTTGATCCCTTTTGCAGTTTCCAAAAAGCCAGAGGTGAAATAAGCGGATTTTACCTCATGTTGGGCACCATTTTTGAGGTAATGGGTTATGGCAAACTGCACAAAGCCACACAGAAGAAAGTGGTTTTAATGAGGGAAACTTGTCAGCAAAAGGTCAGGAAGAGACACATGGATATTATTCTCTCATGCAAAGGCCAGAGCACTGCTAGCTGCACCCTGGGTCTGTATTCCAGGGGAAGGATAATTCTTCCCTGTGAGTTTAACACAGAGCAAGCCTCTCTCACTAACAGAAAACCCCTTAGTATACTAAAAAAAATTAAAATAAAATGGATTTTCCCAGTTTCATTATGGTACATAGAGAGAAATTGAAATAAAACTTTTTAAATGACCTCAGATAAACAGAGAAAACAAGATGCTCAAGATTTAAATTCTGGTACATTAAGCCTTATGAACAATCAAGACTAGCACATGGTAATGACTATTTCAGAATAACTGGTTATCAGAGGCATAGAGGTTCACAAGGCTGTTTATGGCCATGAAACTGAAACTGGCTCAAAAGGGTCAGAATCATTTTGCTGCCTCTAAAAGACGTATATTCCGAGCCACCAGGAATTCTAAGACCATCATCAGATGAGAGAGATGGCTCTGAGAGAGCCAAGTTGAGTGTTAAGCTGGCTGCCTCCAACAGGCTGTTCATGTGTAGTGCTGAAAACTACTGTGAAACAAGGAAAATCCAAACAAGTTACTTGAGTATGGTTTCAGCCTACCCACCACTAATGATGCCCAGTTAGACAGAATGGGTAGCAAAGAACCACAAAAGCATCAGAATGAAAAACAAGAAAAGCAGAAAATAGTTATTTTTCTGGGGAAAAAAACTCATCAATGCAGAGGAGGCTGTCTAGCATCATTTTGGATTCTAACCCTGGGTAGAACACTGACACTGTCACCTCTCCATTTGTACCTTTTAGGCGGGTAGGCTGTGCCAGAGTTCCTTGAAGTGATTACAGTAGTCAATTCCCAGGCACATTCTACCTACAAACCTCTCATTTATTTTATTACTGAGACGTTTAAATCAATTTTTTTTTTTTACTTCATAGACATACTTTTTTCCAAAGGGCAGGGTATGTTCATGTGTGCACAAATAGGAGTATATGTTTAATATGGTTTAGTGGCACCCTATGTAATAAATGTGTTGAAATTTTATGTCTGGGAATATGGAGAATTATTTTCAAGTGTCTTCGTTTTTGCCTTTTAAGGGCTCATAAAAGATTATTTGCAACATACATTTACTTTGCACAACTTTCCCCCCACATATCATTAGTTTTTGTCAAATGTAGAAATTTAAAACCAGGAGCAAACATCTGTCAGACTAATTTTTTGCTTTTTCATAAGTGCAACTTTTTAATAAAAATTTACATCTAGATAAACAATCTTCAGATTTTTGAAACTTTAATAAGATTTTAAAAACATCATGACTTTGAACTGAAAAACATACACGTTTAGCACACAAATATTGTAATATGAATGAACTCCAACTCCATTTGAAAACATGTGAATCAAAGTACAGTTTTAGAAGTTAGTAATTCACATTTAAGCAAGTTAGCGCCTTGCTGAATACAGCCTTTGTAAAAAAGAGACTTAGTGCATATTTTAATGGTACACTGTGGTTTTGTACCATTTGGTTGAGTTTTTCGCTTTATTAAACAAGTTCTTGAAAGTTGGTAGATAAAGGCTAACTTCCTATGACGTGAAATTTCCAATGGTAACAGTTACATTTTGTAACAGAACACTTTCTATAGATTTCTTTTCCTAGCTTAAAATTTTAAAAGCAATCATTTGTAAGGATTGCATCAACATCAATTTAGCAGAGGAAGATCAAACTTTATTGAAACTGCTTGCATACAAAATATATTGCACTATAACCAAACAAATGTCAACATAAAATCCAATCTGTTGTCGCTAATATGTACAGAGAATATTGCCCAAGAGCAGTTACATTACAAGGTCATTCTACCTTGGTTAATTATCTACAGTATTTTAAAACCAAACAGCTTACAGATGATGTGTGCAAGGTACCAATTTCTGTTTTCAAATACTATACATTCCCAGAATAAATAACTAGAAATCAACATTAATGTTTGGCAATACTTTTTAAAAGACTTTTTAATATTTGTGAAATCATGTGCAGTTTGTTGCCATTTTATATGCTTGTTTGTATGCAAGGAAAAGTAACTGTAAAATGAAAATTCAAAGAAACAAACTCACAAAATACATCAGAGGCAGAACTTCAGTTTTTACGGCTCTGTACAGATTCAGTGGTACCCCTACTAGGAGTTACTTTTTAAGAAAAATATAACATCTTAGAGTGAAGGTCCTTCACATATTTTTCCTCAATAAATTTCACTTAAAAAAAAAAGACTCAAAAAACAAAACCAAACCCCAACACTTCAAAAAACAAAAGAAAAAAAGAAAAAAAAGTTGTTATTTGTTAACCGATCTTAGTCTTTTCCAATTCTGCTTAAACATTAGACCATATATTTCAAAGTTTACAAAACATTTAACCTGCTTCCAATGTTTCTTAGACAAAGTACCTGTACTTTGCAGGATTATTATGCATACATGGAAATGACCTTCCTATCTCTCCAAAATAAGCTTGAAATTAAAATATGAAAAATTTCACAAAACTTGGGGCAGACAAAATTAAAAAAAAAAAGCTCTAAGTTAAAATTGGTCATCAGGCCAAAGAGCAGGCATATCCTACTAACTTTCGACCAGGAAGATTTGTTCCTAGCTGAAAACATTTTAGCCTCTCTCAGATGAAGATAGTTCTTTCTTCTCCTGTCTATACAGAAAAATTACACATCTCTCTCAATAACACTATTTATCAAACTTCAGTGCAACAAAACAAAAACAAAAACAAGTCCTATTCTTTATACTGCCTAACCTGATGTTTATGTAAGGAAAAAAATATGGAAAGCATGCATTCTTCTATAAAGTACTAATGTTTGACAGGGTTTGCTACATCTTTAACATTTAGTGTTTCCAACTTATCTTCCCTGAACTCTGCATCCAAATATAATATTCCTACCTGCCAAGATATAAAAAAGGCACAGATCATACAACTTTTTTTGCTAATGAAAATGACAAATGTCACATCACACACATTTCAGGGTCCACTAAAATACTGGAAAAGTGGACCAAAACATAAACTGACACAGGACATGAAATGACATAGCATTTCATGAAGACTTCTATACGAGATTGAAAACAGAAGTCTAATATGATTACCATAAATGCTATATATTAAGAAAAACTGAGAATGTACTGGTGAATGATCACCCAATGCAGGAAAATGGTCCAAATTAACAAAGAATATCACTGCTCAGTACTTTAGAAAATAAAACTAAAATCTGCCCTGAAGTGCTAAGTAGTTTTAAAAGCAATGTTTCAAATTTTAAGGTATCTTTTTGTGCAAATCTGAAAATTGTTGCTTATGGCCAATACCAAAAAATAAAAAATTCTTAGCATAATTTGTGTTCATTTCATGCCCTGTGCCATCTTGCCTACTATTTGTCTTTGGCCTAACAAAGTTTTCTAATATGGAATAAGAATTACGGAAATGGTATAGGAAATATAACTTCAGAATTATGCAGTTTAGGGTACTCCATTCACGAGTGGTTGCTGACCATCCACGCTGTCTGGCTTCTCTTTCTTCTGGTTACGATCTTTACCCGTGCGCAGCCGACTACCTTCACTGGAGGTATTCTGTAATGTTTTAGTGTGGACACTCCTTTCATTATTGCAGTCAACTCTGATCTAAAACAAGTTATAGTTGTTATATACACAGACCATATCCTACTGTAATCTGTAATTGGCCTGACAAGAAATTTAAACCTGAAGTGTAAATTCCACATGTTAAAAAGAGAAATGGAGATGAGAACAGAAGAAGTGCAAGAAATTAATGTAAGGTAGGATTCTTTATTTGGTTTATGATTTTAAAACACTCTTCTTCTTTAACTGGAACACACTGGTCATCTCACTGCATCCAAAGTTAGAGAAAAACTCACAATCCTATCATGTCTTCTTCTAAGTAGAATAAAACAGTGAGAAACAAACAGGTAAAATGAATTACTATTACTGATTACCAGAAGACATACATGCCTCTAACACTAGAGTTAAAATAAAATTAGTTATTCTCCAAAGATTGTGAAGCCCAGGAAAAGAGAAACAAAATGTTTTCCTATTCTGGCTTTACCCTCAAATAACTCACTAACTAGACTTTAATTTACATCTTTATATCTATCACAGGTATGATCAAGTTTCTCTATACTGAGAGCTCCCATAGTCATACAGTAGAAAAACACGAGCTTTGGTTTCTACTGGCTTGTATTTCACTAAGAAAATTCAGATGATCCTACAACCTGAACTCTGTCTGAAGAATGGAACAGTATAAAGAAAACTGCATATAATAATTTGTGGAAGGACTGGAATCCTAGGAGAGTATAAAGATCAATGTAATTTAAAAAATAGTGTTCTAAGAGCTATAAAATATTTTAAGTGCCAATGCTGAATACAGCACTGCTAATTCCAGAGGTACAAATGAAAGTTAACAGTGACAAATGGAACTAAAACAACTACAAATATTGATCTACTTCAAGCACAAATGCTAAAAACATCCCCAAATGGTTGTAATTTCAAAGTATGTTTAAGTAGTGGGTATGTGCATGTGTTTTAAATGTCTCGTTACCAAGGATTCAGTACTTTGATTTGTATCTTTTTTTTTTTTTTTCCCAGACAGTCTCGCTCTGTCGCCCAGGCTGGAGTGCAGTGGCGCGATCTTGGCTCACTGCAAGCTCCGCCTCCCAGGTTCACGCCATCCTCCTGCCTCAGCCTCCTGAGTAGCTGGGACTATAGGTGCCCGCCACCATGCCCGGCTAATTTTTTGTATTTTTAGTAGAGATGGGGTTTCACCATGTTAGCCAGGATGGTCTCGATCTCCTGACCTTGTGATCCACCCGCCTTGGCCTCCCAAAGTGCTGGGATTACAGGCGTGCGCCACCGTGCCTGGCCCTTTTTTTTTTTTTTTGAGATGGTGTTTTGCTCTTGTTGCTCAGGCTGGAGTGCAATGGCAAGATCTTGGCTCACTGCAACCTCTGCCACCTGGGTTCAAGCGATTCTCCTGCCTCAGCCTCCCGAGTAGCTGAGATTACAGGTGCCCGCCAACACGTCTGGCTAATTTTTTGTATTTTTAGTAGAAATGGGGTTTCACCATGTTAGCCAGGCTGGTCTCGAACTCCTGACCTCAGGTGATCTGACCACCTTGGCCTCCCAAAGCGCTGGGACTACAGGCGTGAGCACCGCGCCTGGCCAGATTTGTATCTATTTTCATACTTAATAGAGAAAACATCACCTTTTAAATTCAGTATTCCATTTCATTTAGAAATATAAATGTGCATCCTTTTAACCAATGCAGTTAGACTGCCAAGTTCATCAAACATATCAGTTTAAGTGGAAAATTACAAAACGGGTACTTAAATATCTTATAGCTTTGTAAAAGACAGGTACATACAGTAATTTACCAATCTATCTATCCCTTGGACATGCTGGTCCTTAAGAACCCACCAATAGTTAACACTTACTTTGAGCTGCTATGAATTCCAAGAAATATTCCATCATAAACTTTGTCTTAAAAAGTATCTCTCACTAATCTTGGGTGATGGTCCCAAATGAATCCATAGTCAGGAAGGAACCCTAACTACTTAATAATTAAAAGTTACAGAAAAAGTAGACGACAACATAGATTCAGAGAATCAGACACTAAGGTTTGACTATCATTTGGACATATGCTAGCTATGTGACTGTGGGCAAAGGACTGAAGCTACAGTGCACTCACCTATAAAGTGGAATAATAAAACTACCTCAGTGGGTTGCTGTAAGATTAAATGAGATAAAACATACACAAAGCACTTAGCAAAGGTGCCTGGATGTGCTCAGGAGATAATTTTAAAATTATTTAACAATTGGTTTAGCACTGGTGACAGCCAATTGAGAAGAGATCCTCGGACTAGGTCCTGGCTGTAAATAAGCAGATGACTGACCAAGCATGGAGACTAGCTGAATATCATCAGCTCTGTCTATCATGATTATTAGTTGTAAGACAGACACCTTCTTTTCCTTATTTTCTATTCAAAGAGAATACCCTATCCCTGTTAATTTGGGGGAGCAAAGACACATAAGGTTTACTGAGGTCTCTAAGTACATCCCAGGATGTTCCTTCTCTGGGGGATTGCAGGTCTACCAATGTGGTATTAAAATCATAGTGTGGCTGGGCACAGTGCTCACGCCTGTAATCCCAGCACACTGGGAGGCCAAGGTGGGCAGATCACCTGAGGTTGGGAGTTCAAGACCAGCCTGACCAACATGGTGAAACCCCGTCTCTACTAAAAATACAAAAATTAGCTGGGCATGGTAGTGGATGCCTGTAATTCCAGCTACTCAGGAGGCTGAGGCAGGAGAATCACTTGAACCCGGGAGGCAGAGGTTGCTCTGAGCCGAGATTGCGCCATTGCACTCCAGCCTGGGCAACAAAAGCGAAACTCCCGTCTCAAAAAAATAAAAATAAATAATAAATAATAAAATCATAGTGTGGCTGTCAAGGTCTTCACAAATACTCAGACTGCATATTCTCTAGAGAAATCCTCTTATTTGTATACTTGTCACAAAGAACTAAGATTGACTACAATTGTAATGTTGAAGGTAAAATATTTCACATAAACTGGATTTGTAATCTTTGAACATGTTTTTAATAAAGTAAAATAAACTCATAAATCTCAAACTACCATATTCAAACAATTAAGATGAAAAGAGGCAGACAGGTTTTACCTGAAGGGATCCATCTGTTGTTCTTCCTTTAGCCTCTCTTGGATTACGTGGACGATTATCTGTTCGGGAGTGATCGTCGTTTCCTATGAGAATATTTTCAAAAGGTTCAACAGTTACTGATTCTGAAATGCTTACTGGAAGTTCTTTATTCCCACACCCTCTATTTAAACCAACCACAGAATCTGAAATGTAATCAATACCCCAGTGATTCCAGTTACACAATGGCTAATAATCTAGCCTGCTGCTAAGTAACAGAAAATATTTCACAGTTATTATAATTCTGCATCTACAGGTCAATGTGAGTTAATGAAGGGATGCTGTTTAGACCCACCAAGATGCTGAATTAGTTATCAGCATTTATTCATATATCTGTATGAACCATAAGGAAGGCTGCCTAATATTCTTTCTTTCTACACAAGTGGAAGGCTGATCCTTTCCTATGGTATCAGCACAAAACGGGAGAGATGGGATCTTGGTAACAGTTCATTGCATCAATAGGATTTCTCATGGAACTTCAAGACAGCTGTTACAATTCACTTTGATTTCTTAATGAAGATCTCCATACCTTTGAAGCCTCCTCCACGTCCTCTTCCTCCTTGTCCTCTTCCTCCCCCTCCACGCCGCCGTCCGTCTCCTCTGCGCAGGAAGCTCTCCCTCTCTTCCTCTGTTGGAGCTAATGACCAATCACTGAGTTCGTCTCTGTGGTCAGATTCTGTTTCAGAAGCATTTGATGCTTCAGAATTAGTTCCTATCGAGAGTTAAAAGTTATATACCATTGTCTGACTTTAAAAAAAAAAAAAAGAGGGTTAACAGAAGCTTCCAGAGACGTTTCAGGGGTAATCCAAAACTCTTCCCAATTTATAAGCCCACAAAGAGTATTATCACTTTCCATTTCATAAAACAAAATTTTAAACTCAAAATGAAGGGCTTTGCAATATTTGAGGTTAATTTTGGTTATAAACATGTTTCATTCTCATTTTTAAAAAGGTATGTTATTAGCCACCTAAGTTCAAACCTTGATGTGCCATATCATTAAATAGCTGTGTTCCTTTAAACATCTATACTCTCTGGAGGAAAAGATTATCCACGACAGTTAAGTGTGATACCCTGATAAACAAAACCTCTAAAAAGAGAGCTCCTTTTAGCAAGATTTGGCCCAGGACAGAGGGGAATGTATATATTTTGGTCATTTCTGAGAGGGTGGCAAAGGAGGCCACCATGGCAACTGCTTCAGGGAAGGGTCTCTTGTGGGTCATGGATTGGATCTAGCTGAAGGCAGATACATGCTTGCCTGATGTTTGGTCCACAACCTGCCCTCCCACTCCCATTACAATAATTGATCATTAATAAAGAATTACTATAATAAATTCATTATGCCTGAAGGGGTTAACGACTTAGAGGACAGGAGCGGAGAAAAAGAGCTCCACGGTGAGGCAGAAATTCATGAGTAAAAAGAACAGACTGTTGGGAGAGGGGTTAGGGGTTAGGTTCAAGGTTGGCCTTAGGAGTAGGTAACTCTCCCCAACTCCAGAATATCAGCTCTACTACCTCTCTCTTCCTCTGTTGGAGCTAATGACCAATTATAGCTTCACCATTATAGCTTCATTCCTGTGGATCTTGAAGGCTTTTCCATCTTAAAGAGTTCCTTTTTGAAATGCAAATATGCGTGAAATGGATTATACCTTATACCATCATTAGCAAGTTACAAAGGAGATACACTGTTGAGCAAGAAAGACAGTAGGCACTGGCAGGTGGGGATCAGGTTCACTGAAAGGTACTGGGAGAGAAGAAAGAAGCACGGACAGAAAAGCTGGGAAGGCAAAGAGAAACTTCGCCTACTTCTTGACTGTGCCTAGGGCTGACTTTGGCCATGTCACTCAAAATCACCTTATGAGCCACAAGAGGCAGACCCCTGATTTACACAGTCCATCCAGCAAGTATGACCAGCACATACCTGACAAAATAAAAATGAGCCACAGTACACAAATGAAAAAAGTTTTGACTATACAGTTATAAAATCAGGAGAGGCCTTAAGAAAATCATCAACACACAAGGGCTTTGCAGATTTACCCCCAATCAGAGCATGAACAGAACTTGCACCGGCCCTGTGAACTCTACGTGTTTATCATCAGGTTTTTACTCTATGTCTCCTGTAACACAATTTAACCCACTGTGAATTGGAAACCATGTAGCGGCAAATTGTTATAATGGGGTTCTAATGAATATTAGAGATTAGCAGCTATAAGTCTAGGAACAGATAAAGTTACTGAGTAAAATGCTTAGTTTGTACCTGAAGTATATCCAGGACCGCGTCTGCCGTGCCCCCTATTTCTGTAAGGTCTACTACCTCGACCCATTCCTTGACCATCATCAGTCACATAGCTTTTTTCCTTATCTGTACGATTTGGTGGTGGTCTAGAACTAGCTCCAATCTGTCGCAACTGCTCATCAATTTGTAATCTCTCCAAACGCAACTGGTCTACTTCCTATTTAAAATATACAAGATAACAGTAAAAATAATTTGACATTTTACTTAATAAAACCTTTCTCCTTTTCATCAGATAAAAATATACTGGAATATTTCAATTTCAGTTCTAAATTTACAGTAAACACTGTTACACAGAATTATCAGGAAATTGAATGATCTCCTTAAAAAGAAAATTACTACAGATAACAGATTATTGATGTCAAGAATTAGAGATATAACAAAAACACTCAGCAGTAAAATTATACTGAATAAAATTTAAAGTTGTCTAATTTGGCACTATTATCCAATTATTCTACTGCTAAGGCACAGATATGCTATTTTGGGGACTTCTTCATGATAGGATATTAAATAAAACATGCTAAAATGTATGAATATAGATAAATGACATTCAAGGTATAACCAGCTAACCTTAAAAATCACACATTGTAAATAATCTTGATTAAAATAGATTTGCCAGTTAATATCTTAATTTACAAAGCATTGAGTTTGGGCCATCTTTTGTTTTAAAAGAACATATACTATGGTTAAGGAACAATGATTTTTTCATCAACTGAAAATGCTGACTATTCCTCATGAGGGGAAAACAAAACTATTTAATAGCTGACCAGACAGCTAGGTCTTACATCATGCCTTGAAAACTTCCTAAAGACTACAACTCTGCTACAACAAGTACGAGAAACAGTATACATTTAGTTGATAGAAATATACACCTGGGGTCCAATGACAGACCCTTACAAAAAGCACTTCCAGTATGTTGGGTTCTGTTAAAACCAGATGAAACCTCATTTCTAACCACTGTCCTTCCAATCCACTCATAAACATCTCATTTACTGGCTACGGGGAATCAGATTCATAACTATAGTAGTAGTAGGCGTCTCAGTGAAGCAGAGGTTATCATAGAGACTGTCTACATGAACAGTCATTGGAGAAGCTCCTGTAAAGCTAAGTTTCTAAAATCTTGGTTGTGGCAGCTTCTGGAAAAGAAAGGTCAGGTAAGGATTTGGTCCGTTTCATCTGTGCTCTGCCATCATTAGCAATTTACATAGTTACACCAGAATCTGTTTTACATAGAATTTGAGCAAAGGAGAGACTGCAGCTGAGTGAGTGACTTCCTCCAAAGGTATAGTAATAGCTCATGGAATAGGAATATCTTGCAAAACAGAAGAGTAGTCCAGGTTATCCCACTGGGGCAAAGCAGTCACCTTTTGGTGAGAGATGCCAGGCCCAAACGAGGGAAGTTCTGGTGATGGAAAGAATGGCAACAGGGCAGCTGCTGATAACCAAAGAAGATATTCTTGAGAATAAATCAAAGGATCTAAGAAAGAACATTAGTCAAAAGAACAAGGGATTTGATACAATGCAATCCTAACTCTCCAGGCCTTCATGATGATTTAAGCTAATTACGAGAGAGACACACACACAGAGAGATTACACATAAACATACTTAAAAAAAAATCAAAGAGGTATCCTACCCATGTAAACCTTGCTGGATGAAACCTTTCCACTTTTAATTAACTGGCCACCATAAGAATGAATGGCATGCCCAGTATTACACTTTTTCTTCCTTTCATTCTTATTTACACACAAGCAGAAATCATGTACTTTTTATTTCTTTCAAGAAATCAGCAAAAAAATTCTTAATGCCATAAATAGAGTTGAAATGCTTTTTAAAAACATTTAATACCAGCTACATTATAATTTTGATATGTATGGATACAAATAAAACATTATGAAAATGAAGTAGATCAGTTTCCATTTCATTAAAGTATAGAACATTTTGGCCAAAAGGAATTTCAAGAAGCATCTAGTGTAGGGAAGTGACTTGCCTAAAGTCACACAGCTAGTTCATTTGCTGAAGTCTTATAAGTAAATTGCTGCATTGCCCATCCAGTGCTTGCTCCACTACACCTTGTAGCCTCCTCGTTCCTATCTTCCAGTTTGAAATTTTAAGGAGGCATAACCGCATCACACTAACTAAACTGAACATTTATGAGAAGACACAAATAGTTTGTATTTTGAATAACAGTAAAGAGAAAAATAGGGTAAACATTTAAACAAAGAACTTCATGAAATGCTTAGATTTCCTTGATAAATGACATAAAAGGAACAATAAAGGCAAGAGTTATAGACACAGATTTTTGTCTGGAAAAAACCAAAATGCTAGAAAGGATCAAATGGATTAACAGGCTATGTACAGGATTGCCTAAACTGAGTGTAAGGGTTTAAGAGAAGAATAAAGGGAAGTATAAAATTTTATTGAAAACTGGTATATTGGTACTTAAATTTATAAAGACTTCCATTTTTAAAAAAATTATAAGCCAAACAACGTATTTTCTCTATTACCTTTGACAAGTCATACAGTGTTTTGCACAGGCTAGAATGAGTCCTAACTGCTGAAAGATCTACTATAAAGTTTGTATATTTTAGTACAAAAGGATTAGAAGTTAAAGTTCTTTCTGTTCTCACCTTTAAATAGTTCAGGTGATAATCCAAAAGAACAGTGGCATTAGCGATGCTGTCCTTTGTTCCCACAAAAACAAATGGTACCATACCCTGAAAAAGAAATTGCAACAATGATCCTATAAAAGTAATGATAGATTAATCTGAAAAATGCAAATAACGACTAATTCCCTAGCACAGGATCTGGTGAACAGCAGGTATACAAATGTTTGCTGTAAATATAAATCAATATATGAAAACAAAAGTAGTTGATATACTACTTTACACATCTACTGTGAATACGAATAGATCAATAGCAACCTTTTAAACGTATCAGATTATTATAAAGACTAGTATTCAGTATCAGCAAAATCACAAAATGTATAATTCAAAATTATACAAGCTTTACCATGAGATGTATAAACAAAATGAGTAGTATAAGATGCTCTAATTCATTTATGAAAGGCTTTATCCTGATCAAAATTTTTTCTTTTTTTTTTTTCTTTTTTGTTTTTTTTTTTTTTTTTTTGAGACGGAGTCTCGCTCTGTCGCCCAGGCTGGAGTGCAGTGGCGGGATCTCGGCTCACTGCAAGCTCCACCTCCCGGGTTCACGCCATTCTCCTGCCTCAGCCTCCCAAGTAGCTGGGACTACAGGCACCCGCCACTACGCCCGGCTAATGTTTTGTTTTTTTAGTAGAGACAGGGTTTCACTGTTTTAGCTGGGATGGTCTCGATCTCCTGACCTCGTGATCCGCCCGCCTCCGCCTCTTTTTTTTTTTTTTTTTTTGAGACAGGGTCTTTTTATTCTGTTATCCAGGCTGGAGTGCAGTGGCATGATAATGGCTCGCTGTAGCCTCGACCTCCCCAGGCCCTAGGTGTTCCTCCCACCTCAGCCTCCTGGATAGCTGGGACAACACGTGCATGCCATCATACCCAGCTAAATTTTTGTACTTTCTGTAGAGACGGGGTTTCGCCACATTGCCCAGGCTGGTCTCGAATTCCTGGGCTCAGGCGATCTGCCTGCCTTGGCCTCCCAAAGTGTCGGGACTACAGGCATGAGCCATCGCGCCTGGCCGATCAAATTCTTAAAAAAAAAATCAAAATGAAATACCAAGGGTACAAAAGTAAAAAGTAAATCATTTCTGCTAACCAAGTAAATAGAGTACACACAAAATACAAACAAAAACATCAGGATAAAAATGCACTGAATAATCTGTGAGACAAAAAAATAGGTACATTGACAAGCATTAAGTTTTATCAAGCCCATACACATTTCAATAATGTACTCTGAAAATTTTAAAAGGCTGAATCACAAGGAAAGTTTGAACTTCTCTCTATGGACACTACTTAACATAAGAACAGATTTTTAAAAGGCATATGCTAAATGTCTGTACTCCTAGCCCATATATATATATATTAAGAGGGAAAAAAAAAACAACTACTTCTTGTCACAAGTTATAGGGAAACCTAGAAACAATTGTGCAAATTAATAACTGGCAATTCATTTCTGCATGTTGGGTTTTTCTCCAACAAGCTTTATTTGTTACAAAAGCCTTTAACTGTATTATTTCCCAAAATACCATGTGATGGAATGAATGCTACACCCTTCCCTCTGGGTCAAATATCACCAAAATAGCTTTAAAATCCTATGTAACAGATTTAGTTAGATTGACTTCGGAGCAAATTATTTACGAATATCTTTTCTTGCAACATGTCTAAACTGCTGGAGTACCCCAAGGGCCACTCTAATTTAAGCACTTCACGAGTAGACCTGAATAGTAAATTAAAATGAAGAAAGGCAAGAATGGAATGATGGCCTTTAGTACGGACCCCAGAAAAAAGTTACTCTGTGTTCTGGAATAATGGGCTGCCCGGCAATGAGACATATCCAATCCACTTGCCGTTATAGTCCTCTTTGTAAAATGGCACCTTTGCTTTTAATCCATGAGTCCACAACATTTTTTTCCATAAACAGTTCTCACCAGCTCTCCCTGCCCTCAAAGAACTTACAATGTGGTTGAGGAGATCAACAAATAAACATCTATGTTTAAGTGCTATGCTAGGGGTGAGCACATTGCAAAACAGAAGGGGAAGGCTCTTGAACCAGTCAAGGGGGTGGGGATCTTCGGCAAGTACACAAGGAAAGCTTTGTAAGGAATAAGGTCAAAATGAGGTGACATGTGGAGGAGAAAAAGCATTCCAGGCAGAGTAAACCTGTACATATGTCTAGAAGCAAAATAAGCACGAGAATGTTCAGAGAACTCAAAGTACTTCAGTATGGCTTAAGGTTCTCTAGAGTGCAAGGGAGAAGATAATTTAAAGATGATAACTAGACAAGTAATTAGGAAAAGCCTTACAAGCGGCATGAAGGTGTTTAAGCTTTAACTCCAGGGCAATGGATCCACATACCCACAAACACTCCTCCCTCCAGTCCCTAATCCTGAGGATCATTTGTAATCTTTGTTAACAAGGGGAATAAACATTAAAATATAAACTGAAAGTGTATTTCTCAAGGAATGTTTTCCTACCTGCCAAGCCTTGAGTTCAGGTTTCTGGGATTCCCCTGCTACAACTGATGAAGCCACTAACACCTAAAGCAGTATAAGGAATGCAAGGGATGTCATTAACTATAACAAACGATACACAGAAGCCTGAACGCAGGACTTTCACTGCAGGACTTTTAAACCCATTTCTAAACAGATTAGTTCAAACAGAGAAAATTAGTTTCTAAAATATGGTTCAAGTAGTAACTAATGCAACTAACAGAAGGTGTATTTTGAGCTACGATACCTGCAAAATTTAAAGAGAGAAGGCATGGAAAAAAGAGAGTCCACTGTCAAAAGAAAAATGTGACCACTAAATGCAACCCCATTATTTTGTGTTTATGGCATAAGAGTTGTTACTGTGAATAAATTGAAAAGTATGTATCACACTAATTTGTAGTATCTCATAAGCTGGCAATTACATTTGGAAAAAAAATAGAACATAAGTAGCCTACAAGTCTAACCAGAGAAAACATCCAAAATACCAATTGTGACATCTGAGACAAATTACTTGTATTGTAATTCAAAGTGACAAGTAATTCTTACCCTCTGGACTTTTGTACTGTTAGGTTGAGAAAAATGGGTGCTGTTTTCCTTTATATCTAAATGTTTTTTTTCTTCTGGGGCATTAGGTCCAACCCTTGAATTATTGGAAGGAAGGGAATTTGGTGGCATAATTTCCTTGGTAAAAAACAGAAAACACAAAAGAGAAAAAAAGGACCAATTTAAGACTTTATTTAGCTCTATTAGTGTTATCAATCATCATATTTTTAAAAAATGTAAGTTATTATAAACAGTTTTGGTTTATAAAATTACCGAATACAAATTGTACGCAGAAAAAAAAGATTTAACTTTAGCTAAAAGAATCTTTCAAAAAGAAAGCTAGACAATATGTGAAAATTACGGCTCTTTGATGAGACAGTATCTTAAGAGTACTATTGCACAGAAAGGTGCATCCTCACCTCTCTACCCCATGCAAATACTTTAAAAGCTGCTACAAAAAGCATATATTTATGAAGATAAAAGGGTTACAGAATTTAAAGGTAAGGAGGATGGGGAAGAGATATTAAGCACAGAAATAAATTTAAAGCACACAGAATAAACACACATACTACACAATCCCCACACTAAAAAAGTGAAAAGATGAAAGCCAGAAAACCTGTGTTCCAATTTTGCTTTTGTCAGCAACATTAACATTTACAAAGTGCTTTACGAAGCATTTACATATATATTATTTTATTAAATTGCCATTAACACTCGACCCAGTGATGTATGTCTCATATTTAAAAATTTATAACTACCCATTTTAAAGATCAGGAAAAAAGAATTCAATAAAGTGACTAATCCAAACTCACTGCATTAGAGGACAGAGAAGGGCCATTATCTACAATTATAACATTAATTACAGCAGGCATGCTTGATAATCAGAATATTTGCATTCACTTTATGCACATATTAGAGGTCCTCAACATATCACATAAAAAACTTTTACTTTTATTATATGTGCCACAAAATATTCGCACTGTAACATACCTCTTCTTGTGGAACATTTTTCTCATTTTCAGCCTCAATCCTCACCCTCACAACTCCTGACTTGTCCACAATCTCCTGAATCAGCTTTCCATTTTTTCCTATTACTTTGCCTAAGAAATAAATAAATCAAGTTTGGTTTTAAAAACACATACCTCAAAGCAGTAAGCACAGCCCTACTGTAAACTATTACATTCATATAGATAGATATTTTTATGTGTATGTGTATGTATTGAATTGTAAGATTTCAAAACCAAAGTAGAGACTCTTTTCAACAAGATGGTTAATCTGGTTTTCTGTTTAATTAGGACATCATTGTTTAAACTCCTTTGGTCAGGTACCAGAGTTGATTAATACTTGCAAACTGATAGGGTAATTTTGGATTTTTAAGGCAGTTCAAAGATAACCTCTTATTTTTGCACAAAAGGGTACGCTTTAAACTTGCTGGTACTGTGGTATGTATCATTCTTTCTGCAAAGTTCTATAAGAATTAAGAAAAAAGTAGAGAGAATGGGAAATATATTCACTTATTCAACACTTTCAATTCTTGTCTGTACCTGATTTAAATCTGCTTCTTTGTCCATGGTAAATATTTTCAGAATTCTGTATGGAAGGCACATTTATAAAAGATAATCTAAGTCTGAAAGTGGCTTAAGCAGCTATACATACATCCAAAAGGAATACAAATTCTTCAAGGTCAATGTGTTAACAGAGTATCACTCCTGTGCATTACTTACAAACTTTAGCAATGTATTAAAAAGTGAAGGGATTAGTCACAGAGTAAAAGATTAAGAAAACCCACTTTAAGATAACTCAAAACCACAATGAAAAAGCTTTAAACCAATTTAAGTATTTTTCAGTAACATCTATTAAAACTTGGGATTTCAAGTACCAGTAAAAAATAGGTACTTGATCATTTCCTTATTTATTTTACAATCATATACATTACTGGAAAATGACTGCTTTCATTTGCATCATGACACGAGTGGTAAAGCAAGACATTACAAACTTAAGAATTACTAATTCTGGAAATGTACATGTGAACTACATCTGATTCTGAGGGCTCACCCAAGGTACCTAAGTACCCTTACATTGGCCACATCCACCATGTGCTTGCCCTCACCATCTCATCTTCCATTTTTTCCTTTTCGCCTTTAAAGGCAAAGCTCAAGGCAAAGTTGGGGGAAAAGATGGAAGCAAAAATTTGCTTTGAGCCAATGCTAGATAAGAACTCAGTGAAAAGCCTTCTCACAAAAAATTCTTGTGGCTCTTGTAATCAGAGCATAGCTTTGACATTCTTGCTGTGTGTGGCTGCCTCATTCACCCCTAGAAACTCTTTGACTGGTCATAGAACAGATCTGACACCATTAAATCAGGATTCTTGGTCTAGGTCCTTCTGTCAATTATTTCTGTTCTTCTATAACGAAAAGGGGAAAGGTGAGGTGAGAGAAGCTACTTGGAGTCTTCACACAGTTTGATTTTAAACTGCAACACTTACATTTTCATGAATTAATGTTGACTTTAATAAAGATCTAAGTGAGTTAACAAAATGAAAAATGAGATTTGGGGATGTTTTTATTAAGATAATATCTTAATTATCCTAAGTACTGTGTGTTAACTATAGCTGACTGAATAGTCATACCAATTCATTCTTAGTGAGTGAAGAATCCAATTTTAATGAAAAGATAAATTAGTGCACATACCAAAGAGAGTTTGTGAAAAATAGAGATCACAAATAACGTTGGTTGACTCAAACAAAACACATGCAAAACTGATTATGACACCTCTCTAAAGATCTGCCTTGCAGAATCTTACACAAAAATGCTTTCTGAAAAGTTCCAACGTTCCCAGTGTTGCAGTGGACCATCTCTAAAACAGAATTATCTCATTTTACTAACTAGAAACAACAAAACAAAAACAAGGCTGATTTACTTTTAGCAGTCTTTCTGGTTATTTCTGAGATCCTCTTCTTTCCAGGTAACCACAGGTAGAATCTACTTTTAATATTTAATAGCAAATAATCCAATTCTACATTACACTTATTTCCAAATCCCAAAGAGCAATTTACTGTGATTCTGTTCTACTGAAATGGAGTTGTTTTGAATAAGGTGAAGAACAGAGTCCCCTACTGTGTCCAGAATTGTCCCCTACTATATCTTCCAATTTAATTATCACATCAACTCTATGAGGTGGATCCTATTATCACATTTGATAGGTAAGAAAAATAATTCTCAGGGGGGCTAAGACAGTGACCCACGCTCACATTGCCACCAAAGAATAAAGTAGGACTGAAATCCAGATCCAACTCCAATGCCCAAGCACTTTCCCCACTACCATCATGCCATCTTCAAAACCAACTTTAATGAATCTGACACATAATTCTCTACTCATTTGCTATTAAAAAAAAAAAACAAAACAACTACCAGCTCTTTTTCCATAAGAATTCCTAAATTTACAATAACCTTTCTAACTACAAAAGGTATGCAATTGCTTGACAAGCTGTAAAGAAGAAAATAAATATTATTCATCACCCAACTGTCTTGAGATTAGCACTTTATCTTGCGCTATGCATACATTCTGTACACATACAATTGGTATGCAAGTTACCTTAGTAACATTACAAACACATTTCTCCAGTTGTCTGTAGTACACAGTTGAGCTAACACTTCTGCATTATTTTCCTACTATTTGCACTTTATCTTCAAGCTAATTTTCTTTGGGAGATACATTTATCATTTCTAGTGTTTGTTAATGACAAGGAAGATGTTTATGAGTCTATGCTGACAAAAAAGCAGGCTAAATTAGCATTGAAACTACGTAAACAGAATGTATGAGAAGTCCTTGCTTTCTTCTTTAAAGTTTCCAAAGAACATGTATTACTTTATATAAAATGGCCATGATCTCAAGTTTAAAAGATAAAAAACATATAGGCAGTATGTCCCAATTTTATTTACAAATTAAAAACATATGTAGCTTTCTTGATAAAACTGCACCTGGTTTTGATATGTTCTACTAAAGATATCTGCAGCATTTAGGAGTATTGGTGAAGAGCTCCTAAATATTTGCTGATACTCACGATGGTGATGGTGATAAAACACTACTCAAGTCAAAATGAAGAATTACTATTGACTTTGCAGAAAGTCCCAGAGACATCTGAAGTTTCTTCTAGCTTTGGAACTTTTTAGATTTAAGTAACCTATGTTCAGATCTTCAACCCTGAGATAATTAAAATGAATGCTATCATTTTATAGTCCCATAAGAAAGATCAAATACAAATCTATTTCAAATCATAAAGTCCCCAAATATCATTCATTTTGAAAAATTATTTAATTTTAAGATATAAAAGGTATACAGTCAGGAGGGCTGGGCAAGATTTATCCTTTCAGGTATTAGTAGGTTTGAACTAGAAAAGCAATCTCTTTTGAATACCTTCTGAAAATGTAACCTTTGAGCATCATACTTAACAAATATTTTTTTGTATGCTGTAAGAACAGATCGATTGAACAATGAGAACACATGGACACAGGAAGGGGAACATCACACTCTGGGGACTGTTGTGGGGTGGGGGGAGGGGGGAGGGATAGCGTTGGGAGATATACCTAATGCTAGATGACAAGTTAGTGGGTGCAGCGCACCAGCATGTCACGTGTATACATATGTAACTAACCTGCACATTGTGCACATGTACCCTAAAACTTAAATAATAAAAAAAAAGAACAGATCATATTTCAAAGACTATGTTTCAATTAAATGATACCCTCCAGTAAGAAAAAATGGAATTCTATCACTATAAATAAACTGTTTACCTAAACTTAGTTGTTGTACTATATGTCAACAGATACTTCTGACTTACCTACTAAGTTCCTTGGAACTTGTATTACATCTTCAGCAAATTCGAGAAAGCTTCTAGCTTTTTTCACTGCATCCTGATCCTAATAAAAGGGGAAACATTTTAAGACAAAAGATTAGCCAGCTGAAATACTTGTTTGGGGAAAAAAAAACTATGCAGTAAAATATTTACCTCTCCATAAATATGAAATGTGCAGGTATCTTCATCTAGATCAATAGCAGTGACCCCAGGTACTTTTCTAGCTTGCTGAATATTAGCACCATGAGTACCAATAGCTAGACCCATCAGATCTTCTCTTACGATAAACTGTTCATGAAATCTCGAGGCAAGCTGCCTTGAACTCTGAAGAGAAATGGACGTCTGATGAATACACTTTATCAACTATTACGACAACTGTATTTAGGCCAGCCATGTAAATTATCTTGACCCTGTATATGAGGGGTCCATAAATTATTAATAGTTTTAGGTTAAAACTAACAGGTTTTAGAAAATACCTCTCACAGCCTAAGTACTTTTTAGGTTACTAAAGGTCTATGACATTTTATATGTTTTTGTTAATAGGAAAGAACTTGTTGACATTTTCCAAGGTAACTGCTGAAAACTTATCACAAGGCTGCCTTAGTTAACCAATGACATCAGCAATATAATAACTAAGAAGCAGGTCAAATGTTCCCCAGTAAAAACCAGCTCACTCGGTCTGACAAACTCAATGTTACTTATTTAGGTAAAAAAATGTTTAAATATCATCTTTATAGAAAATTTTATTCGCTTCATTTTTATTAAAAGGTATCAGTATATATTTTCTGGAAACAGTGCCATTTTTTATAACATCATTAGGTACTGTGGTCTAAACATTCCTCTGTTGAAATGACATTAAAATGACACCTCCCTCAAAACCTAAGGAATCAAAAATTGTTGGTACAGTAGTTAAACTGAATAATCAAAAAATGTCAAAAATTAAAAACTTAGTAAGCATCTGAAAGCTAACATGAGACCAGAGTCCGTAAGACCTTGTGATCTGGATCCACAATTATGATGAGCACTTGTAAATATCCAGTGATGACGAAACTAAGTTACACTGACATCCCAAACTTGTGGATAACCACTGTCTTTAAATACCATTATCAAAATTTAGTGTTCAGTTCTAGCATGCCATTAATGAAAACCAAACGTATTAGTGGCTCATGTTGAAAAATGGGAATTTCTTATAGGAACATGTAAATCTCTTTAATATTAGTAGTGAAGAAAGATAGGCATGCATACTAGTTTCTCATTGTTCAACAGACCTGATAATTTGAATGAATGAATACAACTAGCATAAATAATTTAAAAGTGCAATACCCATTTTTTTTAGACTAGAGTAATAAAATCTATAAAATAATTCTAGGACTTTTCAAGAAGTCATGTTTTTTGAGTCCTGGTTCATTAATCTGGTTCGTTCTTTTTCATTGATAATTCACTGATAAATGGTTAGCCAAAAGTATGATAGATCATTTAAGAATAATTCGATGTTTAAGAGGCATATGAGTATATTTTCATAATACTCACAATCAAAGTAAGGAGGCAGCTCTGGGCTAAAAGTTATGAGAGAATCACTGAAGGAACCACAAAATCATGAACACAGGGACATCAAGAAAGAATGAGAGCAAAGACCAATTAAACAGACCTCCATGGCCTTAAGAAAAAACAAAGTGGCAAAAGGAGATTAAACTTTTCCCCTTCTGCTAAGAGTTCAGCATCATACATCAAGTTGACAGGTGGCAAATTTCACAGGGTTTTTATAAGAACACAGTCTTGACTACCTTTTCTCCTAAAATGCAGTTTGGAACTCCTTTTTTTCTTTACTATTTCAAATGTGTGGTGTTTTCCTTCTAATGAATAATGATGACGAACTCTGGAATTTGACAGGAATATAGTAGAGCTGGCACATTCATCTAAGATCCACTTAGTTTCTATAGTAATGGATGGACGTACTTGATAGTTATCAATGAAAACAAATATATGGTGATGAAAATTATTGGAGGATTAATAAAAGTAGATAAAATGCACCTTAAGAGACAAAATAGTAAGTTAGGGAAATAGCCTCTGGCGGGAATCTGAAGACAGGAGTTTTAAAGAATGACAACCAATTAGAATGAAGAAGTTCTATACCCTTTTAAACAAAGATAAACATACATAATGAGAGGAATATGATTAGATATTTAAATATTCTCTAGTATTTTTAATGACAACATGTTATATGGAAGAAGCATTGCCGCATTTTATTAGCAACTTTGATAAACTTCTAGTAAAAGTGAAAGTACCAGAAGTCCCTTAATATACATAAGCTGCTGTTTAATTTTGAAACCTCAGGCATGGAAACTTTAGTATGATTATGCTTTGTACAATTTTCCAACTATAGAACCTAAGGAATTGTTAAGAAGCAGTAAATAAATGACAAGCTCCCCATATTCAAGTTGTGGAATGATACAGTTAATCGTTCCTAGGTACCCTTACAAGCAGTGCTAGGGAAAGTGACATACCTCCAGCTGCTTACTAGCTTCTTCATTTCTCATTATCAGAGACAACTTAGTGCGCAGACTCCGAAAGTGCATGTCAATCAGCATATGTGCTCGCTTTGAGGTGACTTCATTGATGGACTAAATGATTTAAATTAACAACATTATTATCAAGGCAATTGCCCCAGATGAATTAAACTAAAAATAAACAACTCAAAAATGCTCACCAAAATGACAAGCTGATAATTTTCTGGATCATAAGTTACAGAAAAGGCACCAACTGCCTTTTTAAAATCCTTATGTGCCGCCTCTTTGGCACACCTAGAAATTTAAAAAAAAAAATTAAGATGAATAATTACCAACTACTGACATAAATAAATGCAGGCAGATTTACACATACAAGAATCATGGATTCATATTAAATTTGATTTATGCAAAATATGCTATATCCATTTAGAAGCTTAGCTCCTTTTCTGTACATTTCTGAAATACAGCTTAGATTACCAAAAGAGACATATTCAGGGGAACCACTCTACACTACAGGTTTCCTGATTTCAGTTACATACAAGTCAGTAGTTTTCTTAAGTCAACTATTGAAAACTTTTGGAGATAGCTACCTACAGGGTATCTGATTTCTTTCTTCTTCTCTTGTTGCAGGCCTTTTTTTTTCCTTTTTTTTTAATTTTTAGTTTTGTGGGTACATAGTAGGTATATATATTTATGGGGCATATGAGATGTTTTGATACAGGCATGCAATATGAAATAAGCACATCACGGAGAATGGGGTAAGAAACTGCTAAACGATTTGAGGGAGAGAAGGAAACGTACATGAACCAGAAGGCACAAAAATTTACACACATACACAATCTCTAGAAAAGGGAGGATTTCTATGTATTCTGAACTGCAATTTAATGTTCAACAACATGTCCAAATCAAACGTACTGTATTCACTTAATAAAATCTGTAAAAAATAAAAATGCGTCTCTTCTATAGTCTTTAAGCATTATTCCAGATCAAGGATTGTAAGATGAGATGACTTTTTAAAGCTTCTTTGGCTCTACTTATTACACATTTATCTGAAAACATTTTAGGTAAAAGAGAAAAAAACGGAGAAATCGTTTATAGTTTGTGACTTATGACAGAATTATCACATTTGTTTGATCAGTTTTTAAATCTTAGAATGAACAAAGTTAGTTTAGAAAACAAATGTACATTATGTACATCAGACACGTGTATAGCCAAGTAAGTTTAAACAAGCGCAAGGCTGCCTTGATTCTATAAGTAGGAAAAGTTAAATAAGTTTTTTCTCCATTGCTCTTGCAAACCAAACCATTTTTGCCAAAGTCCACCAAATTTAAAATCAATTTCTAGTAGTTTAAAAAATTTTAAACTACTAGAAATTCTTCTAAACTAATTGCATATCACTTCCAAGTTCTCAGCATTTCTTGTGTATCAACTTACATTTGCCGTAAGTCTTCTGGCACATCCAGCTTGATCTTATGGAAAGTATCTTTTGTGGCAGGTTTGTTGGGATTAACAGATCTTAGACGTTCAATTGTGACAATTTCATTGTAAGTTGCATCACATGCTGCATATTCTATCACATAAAACTGAGAAATAAATAAAAGTCACTTCTAATCACAATTTTTAAAGTAAGAATAAGAAGTTCTCCCTATTCAGTTATTTTAAAATAAATAATCTATGTGAAAAAATTTATGACCAACAGAAACATACTGAACACATAGTGAAAACATTTTAATTAAATTACTCAAAATTAGATATTACTTCAAAATAGAAATCCACACGGGAATGTACAACCTGGGTTTAAAAAAAGGAAACAATATAAGAAAAAAATTTAAATAGGCATTTTCCTACCTCACCCTTTATCATCCTCACTTTAGCTAACCACCAACAGCAAGGCTCTTTTTCATTTGCTCTGGAATACACCTACACAAAAATTACAACACAGAATATTTCATGATTAACATAATTTTGAAATCTACAGATTTTCAGATATCGAGGAAATTTTCTTAAAATGCCCCTAGGTGTCTTTAAAAACCACATGTCATATATCCTCAACCAAATTGTAACCCTGTCTATGTACCCCGAGGTAGGCAGAGATACATAATCAGAAACTACCTGAGATTGCTTTGAAGCTCCTTGTAAAAATCAGTTTTCCTATATTTCTGTTCTAATTCAGCAATAATTAGTGCTCTGAAAATAGACGCCCATAAATACAAGCACACTTTCCTTGGGTACTCAGCAAGTTACAAAAAATGTATCTAAAAATGTATAAGCTTATTTTTGCTTTATCCTAGTAAGCAAAAATTGACTGAAAGTTACTGACCATGCCCTACTGTCTTGTTGCTTGGTCACTAAAGTAAGACCACTGAACATTCAGCCCACTAAGGATACCACTCTGGCAGTCATATCTCCTGGAACTAAATGGACAGATCCTTGGTCACTTTCTGGTCTCCTGCTTCCTCTCCACTAAAAATGACAACTTCATGGTGGCAATCCTCTGGATATCACTTTCCTGGTCTGTCACACACTGCAGATCAGTTCTTCTAACTGATCTCTTTGATGACCACTTCAAAGTTCACTTAAGATGTACAGCATGGAACCTTTCATGAAGACCCTAGCAAATCAAGGTTAATAGGAAAAGAGACAACAGAGTATATATGGACAGAGAGACAGGGATACTCAGAAGCAGAAAAGAGAAATAAGAAAGACAAGGGGGATAAAGACATGAGGCCAAGAGAGGTACAAAGTCTAGGGCTGACAAGTAGAGTAAAAGCTCGAACTTGTCTCCCTTTTACAACCAAAGTTAATGATCACACAATACAGTGACTGAATACAACTTAACATACCTTTCCCTCTTGCTTCCATCTTTCTCAACTACTCTAGCCAGAGAAATTACCTCAACGAATCGGTGTGTAAGACAGTGAGGTCATCCTAGCAATGGTATCTCATTGGTCCCGATCTGTCAAGTGACCAAGCTGGGGAGAAAAAGTCCCTTTCATCCCTCCATCAAACACTATTCTGGGTACTCCTAATACAGACCAAAGACCTGGGTCTTGCCTTCAGAGAGCTTACAGTCTTCTGGGGAAGTGGACAGCTAAGCATACACAGTGTTTCTGTTCCCTATTAAGATCCCTTGCAAAACCAAGCCCAGCTGCTTACACCTAGTAGAGATTGGTTACATTTTTGGAAAATAAATAACACTATATCCTATGTCCACTTTAAAACTGTAGAGAGAAAAACACAGGCCTGGACATTGAGAGATCTTCCCTGACTACTCTCTGAAACAGCAATCCTGTCCCTAAATCACCTTTCATCCTCTCCCTTTTTTTTTCTTTAAGACTCACATCTGTCATATTAGCTATCCTTACTGGAATGTGATTTCATCAAAGGCAGAAGATTCTGTCCTGTTTTTGCTACACCTTTACTACCTAGTGCAGCAAATAAGAATTCAAGGACCAGCTGGGCATGGTGGCTCACATCTGTAATCCCAGCACTTTGGGAGGCCGAGGCGAGTGGATCACCTGAGGTCAGGAGTTCGAGACTAGCCTGACCAACATGGTGAAACCCCGTCTCTACTAAAAATATAAAAATTATCTGGGCGTGGTGGTGGGCGACTGTAATCCCAGCTACTCAGGAGGCTGAGGCAGAAGAATCGCTAGAACCCGGGAGGCGGAGGTTGCAGGGAGCCAAGATCGCGCCATTGCACTCCTGGATGACAAGAGTGAGACTCCATCTCAAAAAATAAATAAATAAATAAATAAAGAACTGAAGGACAGGACCTAGAACCACTCTGCCTCACCTGCACAAATGTCTACTTAGCGACATCCTTCATACTACAAATATTCATGGAACGGCAACTATTATTAACTAATAGTAAGGCATTATGCTTATTATTGTAGAAAAAGAAGAGAAGCAGCTCAAAATGGAGTATGTGAAAGGATACAAAGGAGAGAAGATACCACACAAACTATATGAGGCACTGTAAGCGCCTTAAATACAAAACCAATTTCTAATGGAGAAAGAAATCACAAACACAACATTTCTGTTCACATGTTAGATCTCCATAGCACATTTTGGTCAAAGAGCTCAACGGGAGATAAGCAGGTAGTTCACGGTATAACCTGTGAAAAAGAGATTTTACCAATATGTATAAACTAAAGCTTGTAGGTTTTTAAAAATATACCAAGAAGATTCACTGCTACTTAAAGAAATTCTAGTATACTATTTTGTAATAAAGCATGATTTCTTTCCTGTGTAAAATTAATTTTCATAATCCATTTTGCTTACAATGGGGACACAGTTGTAAACAAACAACATACTATTCAAAGATTCAGAAATTGAGAGAAGGAGAAAAGAATTACTAGTGGGCAAAGGAACTTGCGGCAGTGACTTTCAAATACATGCTCTGAGTACTGCTCAAATAGCCAAATGTAAGCATCATGTATCATTTTGAATTATTAATAAGATGAGTTAGTCAAAAGCACGTGTCCATTCCAGCTGTAATTCTCAAAGTAATTTAAACAGTGTTAAAGACAAAGTATTAAAAAAAAACACAGATAAATTAACCCCACTCTTTCAGTGCTAAATGACTTTATGGCAGGGAAAACTCACCTCAACTTCATCACTTTCATTTATATCTTTATTATAACCTACAGGAGGTGGGAATCTGACATCATGAAATGGAATCTGCCTATCAGGCTGCCAGCTGTAAATAAGCAAACATACAATTATTTAACATGCTTTTCATGTTTAACTGAAATAATGACCACTCTGCCATCAACTTTTGGTTAAGGCTGACCCCTCTTTTTCTAGTTTCAAGAAGCAAAAGCTTTAAAATCATCAGTTTTTGCTGAGTGGGACATAACGGCAATATAGTAACATTTCAGCAAAGTCTGCATGCAGCACAGCAGCCTACTCCCGTTTGGAATATTTCTCTAAACACAATACAGCAACATTATGATTTTCAAAACAAGTCTTCTTTCCAATAATTTCAACTTCTAAGAGCTTTAAACATAAGTCCACAACAGAAATTTCCTTCAATATTTGAATATTAGTACCAGTAATTGTTAGTAATATAAATATGCTTCCACTTGCAGAAGAATTTTAACCACATTCCAAGGACCACAAAAACTGCCCTCTAATTCCCAAGCAAAATGGGGCTATCAGCACATTAGCAATTCACAACTCACTTTTCCCCCTTTAAATTTTAGATCCCACGAGGTGGTCAATTCTTGCTGTGGGTAGCTGGATGCTGATCAGTATGACGTTATCAGCATGCACTGGGATGGTGGGGTCTCCTAAACCACAGAAACCCGATGGAGACAGCCTATAGGAGTTTAAGTTGCCTATGTTTTTAAATTTAAAATGATATTAAACAACTCTGAAAGATACCAAATTATTTTTTATATCCATAAAAATATAAAATATTAGGATGCGGTGGCTCAAGCCTATAATCCCAGAGCTTTGGGAGGCTGAGGTGGGAGCACTGCTTCAGGCCAGGACTTCAAGAGCAGCCTGGGCAACAAGGTAAGACCTGATCTTTACAACAAATTATTAAAAAAAAAAAAAAATTAGGTGCAGTGGTATGTGCCTATAGTCCCAGCTACTCGGGAGGCTGAGGTGGGAGGATAGCTCAAGCTCAGGAGTTCAAGGTTACAGTGAGCCATGATCATGCCACTGCACTCCAGCCTAGGTGACAGAGTGAGATCCTGTCTTTAAAAAAAAAAAAATATATATATATATAGACACACACACACACACACACACACACACACACAAATAAAATACTGAAAGACAAACTTTGCAAAAATACTGAGGATTCAACTTCCGGAGCAGTCACATCTGGGTTCTTTTTGGTGTTCTTCATCAGCAGATACTGAGATATGTTGTATGTATAATGTCGATGTTTTACTAAAGAGCTTTCTTAGTAAAATTCTATTGAGAAAAGTACTTGTTTTTGTTAAAGAAGAGCTGTTATATAAGCGGGCAAATATTAAGTCAGAATTTGTGGAAATCTGATTAGGGCCTAAATTAACTGAACCCTCCTCTGAGTTATTATACACACCTAATAGATGTTATACATTCATTGCTAAATTTGATTTTAAAGCATATAATAATATATAACTCAATGGTTCCAAGGAAAAAATAATGATTTTAAGTGTATACAGATAAAAATTCAAATTCCTTATTAAAAAATGTGAAATATGAAAACACCTTTATGCTTTATGGAAGGTTTAGGAAGCACCTAAAAACAAAGCACCTAAAACAATCTGCTATCAGTAACAGGAGCTTCTTCCTGATTGAAAGGAAAGAAAGGGTAAATACAATCTGGTGTTTTACAAAACACTGTTTTCGTTTTGTTTCTAACAGAAAACCAAAAAGGAAACACACAAGGAAGGGCAAAGAGATTACTTTGGTGGAGACCTATTAAATCCTATTGATGTGCTCAAACCCAGTGTTGTATTGCAAACATACTCCATGAACACAAGGAAAAATCAATGATCTATTTCAAACTCCCAGGATGACAAAGAGCTTGAAGAGAAACTTTCATGCAGATATGGTACAGGAGATAAATAATTGGAAGGTCCAAAGATGAAATAATTTTAAGTTTATGGTAGAAATCTGATTGAAAATTAAAAAGAAGTGATCTAATAAATCAATGTATAAACTAGACAAATTCTTAAATGCATAGAGGAAATGAGTGTTTGCTTAACACTTTAGATTATAGACTACAGGAAAAACTAAAAGAGTAGCAAATAAAGACAACTCTCCCTTTATGGGAAACAGCATTTACCTAGTGATGTAAGTAAGTAGATAAAGTGTATAATTGTAAGAAAAAAATACCCTCCAAGTTATCAAAGATTCCTCTGTTGGTGTGATGCTGTTGTCTATTGCATAGCCATGGATATATGAAACAGCGAAGAGACAAATACTAAAACTTTTGGCTTTATGTATTCAGGGAAAGGTATTCTACTATTCAAACTTGTATTTTGGTCTGCGATTATTAGTCCAGAGCCAGAAATAGGGTTAGATGCTTTTAATCCTTTTATCTCTGTCCCCCTACACGTGTTTCAGGCATCTAAGGATACTACTTTGTCCTGTTGCTAGCCAAAAGAATCTGCTAAGTTCAATTATGAAATATATTTTCTAGACACTGAAACACAGGCCTGGTTTTAAACTTTAGAAGCAAGATGTGTGTATTTATTGCTCAGTATGCCTGGGTCACATACTACATTTTAGCAGACATAATCCACATATCATTATAATTCATCAATTTAAATGTACAATTCAATGGTTTATAGAAGGTTTACAGTTATGTGCAATAATTACCAGTCAATTTTACAACATTTTCATTGCCACACACACAAAAATCCTGTACTCTTTAGCTATGTTCTCCCCACCAGCCCCAGCACAAGCAATCACTAATCTACTTTCTGTCTCTATAGATTTGCAGCCTGCTTTTGATATATTATTAATTTTCTTGGTATATAAGAGCCAAAAAAATGATAACTGTTAACCATCCATCAGAGTTTAGTAAAATCCTAAGATCATAGCCACATCTACACTTTGACTAAGGAGTTTATATGTACTTTACAATCTTACCAACAGCTACCCTGAAAATAGCCTTTATTAGCATTCAAAACATTTAGTCAAGAGACTTGTGTTCTCCAATAAAATGTTAACATCTATACTATTGATGCTTTCATACAGTTAATATTCCTAGGCCTATGACTGTTTTTATTTCTTCATCTAGCAAAAGAGAACAGAAAAGATCAGCTACTGCTATTGCTGAACATATGAAACATTAAAAAAAATCAGATAATAGGTAAACATGACTGTTTCCATAAAATATACTAGACAACTAAAACCATCAGTTTTAGATTTAATGTTAAAGAACTCACATACAACTTTTTAGCAATACCCATGAATCTTTTCATTACTATCTTTTTAAAATTTACAAATACTCCTATGCGAACTTCCAGTTACTAATACACAAGACTCTCTGGTTTCTTTCTTCACATTCAAGGGAATTAAGACGTAAGGATCAATACCATACAATAAGGGACCTCCAGGACATTAGCAGAAACAGTCATTCCATTAGTTTAATACTGAGTTGTTCAGAAACTTCTCAGTCAGTAACATGAAGATCCATTCCTGAAAAGCACTCAAACTGGACTTGAATTTTTAAAAAATGAAGAGTAGAATTAGCATAAAATATTAAAGAACCTCATCATTAAAATTATATAACGAGACACTTACTTGTTTTCAAATGCAACTGTTATTGAATCTTCATGAACATCCTTTACAAATGCCTGTGTAAGAAAAAACGTTAAATTAACTTGTGAGCTTAAAGATAGTTTTTGTTTTTAGTTAAATTTTACAGTGATACCAAACGTTTTATGTGTTTATGAATAAAATAGAACTTCAAATGAAGGTCAGTTTTTGAAGATCATTTTATTCATTAAGCACATCTATATTGCCACCTTGTATGTGCTATACCCTAGAGATAAACATAGCTAAAACACTAAACATGAGAAAAAATTCTCCACAGATTTCAACATCTCGAAAAATAGACAAGTATACTGGAAATTACAATGTGGTAGTGAGTGCAAAGCTGGACGTACATTTTAGGTAGAATTACTGAAAACTAAGAAAATTGTTCCAGAACCATATATCAGCCATATATTGTAACCTACCTTTCTCTCCTTAAAATCTTAGAATACCAATAGTCAATGATTAAATATAACCTCAAATCTATCTATCTATCTATATATATATATATACGCACACACAAATATACTAAACTTTCTTTAACAATCATATGCTGCAAACAACACTAAAAAGTCCAGTTACTAGAGTTGAATTAAGTTCTCAATCTCACAGTACTTGTAGAAAAAATATATAAAGTCCAGAGGTTTAGATCTTTTAAATCTGATGACACAATTGTTAGTAATCTACACAAAGACAGACAAAATAGCTAATTATCAAGAATTCTTTAATCAGCATGCTGTCTGTAACTTTATAAAATTAACCTTTTAATAGGTACAGAAAAGGAAGGTTTTTGTTTTGTTTTGGACAATTAGAAGAATAGGACAAAGCATAAAGAAACCCAAAGGCTTTATATCTTAATTTATTTTAAAAGGGCTTGGGGAGATTTAAGCTTCTTACTCAAATTTATTCTGTATGTTTCTCCCCTTCAGTGGTTTCTCCCTGCCTGCAGGACCATAGCCAAACTCCTTCTCCCGCTGTAAAAGGCTCTACAGGAGCTGTCCTCCCCAGCCCCACCACTTCTTCAACTTTATCTTTCATATCCTTAGAATTTGTGACCCAACAATGCTAAACTACTTGTGCCATACTCTGTAGTTTCTGGGCCTCTCTCCATTCCTTCTTTCCTATTGTCCTTCCCCTCTTTTTACATAGCTATCTCTTACTGGTCTTCCAGATTTCAGTTCAGATGTCAACTTCAACGGGAGAACTGAGAAGTCTAGGTTAAATTCCTGTCCTCTGCATTCTCATAGCATCCTATGCTTATCCCTACAATAAACTTACCCCACTCTATTATTATAGCCCATTTTCTCACTAACAGTAAGTTTTCTGAGGGTGGTGTCAGGTTTTACTTCATTTACGGATATACTGCAGAGTGTCTAGTATGAACTCAGTGAGTACTTATCAAATAGATCATTGCCTAAGAGGTTCCTATCCCAGCCTTAGGGAAAAGGTATGTGTGTGGGTGATGGTGGTAGGTTGATAAGACAAAGGAAAACATACTGAAGAAGGTGAGGTTCCTACTGACCCCTTAAAGGATAAGGAAGTACTAGCTAAACAAAAGAGAGTGGAGGATGGAGAGGCATTCCACTAAGCCTACGGGGCAGCAGGCATAAAGGTTTAGACAGTGAGAAACAGCTGGGTTGTGGCAGAAATAATAAATCCTTTGTCAACAAAGAAGCCAAGACAATTCAATGGGGAAAGTATAGTGTTTTCAAAAAATGAAGCTGGGACAAGTGGACACCCACATGCAAAAAGAATACGTTTCAACCTTTACCTCATACTGCATACAAAAAAAAATCAATGAATATGCATCAAAGACCTAAATATAAGAGCTAAAATTATAAAACTCTTGGGAGAAAACACAGTAGTAAATCCTCATGACGCTGAATGTTTGATATCCATATTGGATAGTGAGACAATAACTAGTTCGGATTAAGACCATTCTCTAACTTCGGTGTCCTCAGTAAATGGCATAGTTTCTGGTATATAGAACATGCCCGATACATGTTTTTAAAAACAAATGGTTCAATGCAGATGTCTTTGTAAACAAATATGTCTTCAAAGGCCTATGATATAAAAAGATTATTTTAAAAAATGAAACTTCCCAAAATATCAAATTAAAGCATATGGAGTGAAGCATTAATTAGCTGCTCTTAAGAAAAACTATGGAAGCTGAGACAGGGCCCTGGAAAACACTGATACAGAAGCAACTTAAACAGAGATACCAAGCTTCTTCAATAATGCTTAAATAAAAGTAAAGCTACGCTAAAAGAAAGCTTCCTTGTAAGATCAAGGTGGACTATAATGGCATCCATATGTTGTGCTATACCCAAGGTGGCTAAATAATTATTTTTAAGTTAAGCATGGGTATATACCCTTATAGTTAGTTACTGGTTCAAAAGGGGAGAAATCAACATTTTCTTATCATTTTGATCTTGCTTATTTTTACTCAGCTATATTTAAATGACCAATATTTTCTACAGCATATTTTGAGAACTCTAGCTTAATACTGCCAATGATATTTTAGAATTATTAGATTTCATAAGGGTGCATGCCCCAGTGCTTCAAGGGATTGTTTGCCTCACTATTACTTCAACAGAGAGGCCTAATTTTGAGTTAGGTTGCAGGAACTGGTCACTCTTAGGCTCTTATTTCTATAGGTCGTAAAAATTATGGAGAATGGGAAAGAGGACTCTCCTGGCCCCGATTTCTCCCTTGTCTTTACAGGATGGCTAATAACAAATTAACAGTTTGCTTTTTGGGGGTGCTATTAGATTATTAACTAAAACTAAGACACCTATTAGGAAGTAACTGACCCCTTATTTACAAAGAAGGGCCACTGCTTCTGTGTTCATCCTTGTTTAAGGTTTCATAATGTTTATACATCTTGGCAGTAATTAACATTAGTTCCTTACTGTATATTACATGCTAAAAATGTTGTCCTTTAATCAGCTATTAGAACCTTGTTACAGCTAGGTAAAGAAATGTTCTAAGTAAATCAAGTATCTACCCAAGACTACTGCCCTTGTCTAAAACTATGCCATCTACCATAGTAGCCACGGGTCATGTGCGACTACTTACATTAAAATTAAATAAAATTAAAATCAGTCTCCAATTCACTCTTGCAACATGTCAAGTGCTCAATAGCTACATATGGCTTAAGGGCTACTGTAGTAGACAGACCCGATTTAAAACATTTACAAATGTTGGAGACTGTTTTCAGACTCATCATAAAAGCACTATAATATCAGCCTTATTACTACATTGCTATATTTTGTTTTTTTCTCTTTGCCTAAAAGTTATTGCCCAGTTGAATCATACTTATCTACATTTGCTTATTTCCTAAAATCAAATATTCTCTCAAAGGAGGAAGATCTGCAAGTGCTGTAGCTATTCAAAAAAAAAAAAAAAAAAAAAAAAAGCTTTTGCAGGCTCTGAATGCATTTCCGGATGATTTCCGGATGTAGTGTCAGAGTGTCAGAAATGGTTTGAGTAATCATCAGAGCCCAACAGGGCCACTGCCTTTGAGTTAATGAGGCTTATCTGTAAATGGATGTTTGCATGACTTTTTCAAAATCAGTCATTTTAAGTGAATACAGAAGGTATATAATACCTTTGGTTGCTGCTTTAATAAGTGGAATAAAAGAAACTCATAGGTTACGTTTGGTCTACACTCGCGTGAAGGACAAATACCTCCTGTGAATTCTAAGGTCTTTCACTAATTCCAACAAGGTTCCATCTTCCTGTTTCTCATCATAGTTTTTCCAATAGCCGTCGCTTTTGGCTCTGTCCTTCCCCTTATCCACCACTCACCCACCCACAGATACACTCATACCTTCCTTCTTTGGCCATCTCCAGAGCACTATCACTCCACCTATCACCACCTTGGAAAACTGTGTTTTGCTATGATCCCTACCTATCAGGCAAAGCTGATGTCTGTAGAGAAGAGAGGTTGAGGAGGTTCCTGAGAGGTTTCCAAAGGCAGCAAATTCAATGAATTTGAATGAATGCACAGGGGAATTAAAGTGTATTGGGTGAGGACTAGGGCTCTTACTGGAGTCAGTGTACTTAGTGGTTAACGGTTTTGCTGTGAATCAGACCTACGTTCAAAATCTTGGCTCTAATACTTAATAGCTGTGAGACTCTCACCAAGAAGTGATCTCTGGACCTCAGATTCCTCATCTGCAAATAAGGAACTCGACCAGCCTCCTAAGACTGCTGTGGGTAATGAAATTACACACATAGGTGGCACTAAATAAATGAGAGAAAAGTAGAGAGTGTCATATTTTATAAGAGACACAGAATCATAAATGTTTTTGCATTTGGAAAATGTACATCCCAACAAAAGCACTCTTTTTTTTAAAAAAGCTTTAAAAATTGGGATAGAAAAAGAAAACAATGTTTCCACAAAGATACTTAATATTAAAAGGTTATTTAGAGTTTGGGAAGAAAAAAAATGTGATGAGAATCTTGGAATTTGAGAAAGGCGATAAAGTACAGTTTAAAAGAGATACAAGTTCTTCATCAGGGTGAATAAACAGGAAATAAATCATTAAGGGGTCCCTAATTTACTAGCAACTGGGCCAAAGAGGTAATTACAATAATCATATTTATGAAAGTATGTAATGCCTAGAGCTATCTATTCAAACATTCTATTACCAGGACTGATGAAACAAAGACAGAAAGTCCATCCTTATTTGGGTAAACTCTCCCCAGCGACACCTCACATTCCTTCCCTTAGTAAAGTATCTTACCAACAGGAACCACTGCTCACAGGAGAGGCTATTATGTGTTAAAGTTTCAATGTACACCCGACCACCAATGAACATAACTACAACATCATCAGTAAGCTTGTATCACTTACTGAAGACAGAACATGTAGTGCTATGATAATTCTCGTTAGGAAAAACTTACAGCATTGTAAAATATCCCTCCTAAAGAAAACCTGCTGGAAGCTGGACCCGGTGTCTCATGCCTGTAATTCCAGCACTTTGGAGGGCTGAGGCAGGCAGATAACTTGAGATCAGCCTGGCCAACATGGCGAAACCTCATCTCTACTAAAAATGCAAAAAATAGCCAGGAATGGTGGCACATGCCTGTAATCTCAGCTACCCGGAAGGCTGAAGCATGAGACTGGCTTGAACCCGAGAGGTGGAGGTTGCAGTGAGCTGAGATCCCACCACTGCACTCCAACCTGGGCGACAGTGAGACCTGTTGAAAGAAACAAAGAAACAAAGAAACAAACTAAAGAAACAAAGAAACAAACCAAAGAAACAAAGAAACAAACCAAAGAAACAAAGAAACAAACTAAAGGAGCAAAGGAGAGAAATGAAGGAAAGAAAGGAAAAAAGAAAAGGAAAGAAAAAAGGAAGAAAGGAAAGAAAGGAAAAGAAAGGAAGAAAGGAAGAAAGAAAACCAAAAAAGAAAACCAAGAAAGAAAACCTGCAGGAGACAGGATAGGGACATAGGAAATGTGATAACAGTATGATTCAAACCCAAGGCTTCATATATAAAGCAAGTTATCATTTTGTCCCCACTCCCCCCGCCCCGTTGTATGGGGACACTAACAACATAAAAGAATAAAGAGAGACAATAAACCTCATCAACAGTCCTTCCAACCATACCACATGTCCAGGACTTCATATAGGCTACAAATTATGTGAAAAACACATTTAGCTTCACTCTGACCAAAAGACAACAGAGACATGTGCAAAGAAAACATTATTAAATTAGTTACTAATTTTTCTTGTGTGTATGTATTCTAACTTTTGAATACTTCAGTTTTATGAGCTCCCAATATAACAAAGACAAATTTCCTAGCAGGGTCAAAGATTTCTAACTTTATCTTTCCTTAACAGGCATCCACATGAAGAAGTACAGCGCCAAGGTTCAAGAATTAGTAACAAAAAAAGCTGGCACATAAACTGAATTATTTCATGATGGCTTTGTATTAACAATAAAAAATGGTAATATAACACTGTAACTATAGTTATAGGATGCTAAGGCAGTGTTATAGCACAAAATACAATCAAAGACCACCATGAAATTGAAAACTAAGCAGGAAATCAAACCAATTTCTTCAAGCTAAATTTCATCATTTCAGGAATTCAGAATCCTGACCCTTAATGGCCCTGACACTTGGTAGTAAGTCACTTACCTAACCTCTCTGTGCATCATTTAAAGAATGGGAATAACAACAATACATCAAATAAAGTATCAGAGAGAACAGTGCCTGGCACCTAGAAAGTACTCATCCCCTGTTAACTATTATTATAATCACGATCCCAATCTTCTCAGGAAGCACATTCCTATAGTGGGCAGAAATCAGAAACTCCAGTAATATACCACTGAATGTTGCATCTAATTAATAATTTGGAGGTTATGAGAATATTTAAGTATGGGGTTAGAAAATGCACAGTTCAAAAGGGGAAAAATGATGCAGCCACAAAGATCCTAAAAACTAAAAAGGGCAATCAGACTGTAGGAAGGAAAAAAAATGTGGTTGACCCCAATAATTCACTTCCTCGAAGTACAGAATAACACCTTTATGCAAAGTTAGCTCAGGAGACTTCAGAGAAACCACGAGTGCAAGTTTATTTACACTTTACCCAAGTTGATTTATAAACTTATAAATTTATAAACCTTATGCAAGTTTATTTGTAGTAAAACTGATTTTACTACATTTCAGCTATGTATCTGAAATGACATGTTAGACCACTAATATCTTCATTAAAAATATCCTTTTGATTGTACACTTTATCATATTTAGCTGCTAGCTGCCATAATACTACTAACCAAATGAAAGTCTGTCCTCAAACACTGAACTTAAAAAAGTATAATCTAACAACAAAATTACAATCTAGTATAATTACACCATATTACAACAAGGAATCAGAAATCAGAGGTTGTATTTTCAGAAAACAAAAAGGTTTGTATCTTATGTCTCCAACATGTGATTTTTCCATCTTTAGTAATTTTCATACTAGTACACAAAACCTACAAATCTTAGGATTCATTAGGGCATTCATATTGGAGTGATACGCATTCTACATTTAAAATGGAGTTAATTCATTACCATTCTCAACACATCAAAACTTCTAGTCCAAAGAAAACAAATTATGTGGGGCAGATGCACCTAGAATAAAGACTTTATTTCATCATTATTCATTTAGAAAATACTTTGTAAAGATTTTATGAGGTGTAAGTCAAAGTGCCTTCATATCTTAACACCTGCAGGGCACTATAAAGTGGTACACGTGACCAATTTTTTCTAAGTCAAACAAATACCTAAGCATAAAAGTAGTGGCTCTGGTGATCGCTAAATCTAACTTTTAAGTTTTTAAGAATAAACACCAGAAGATAGAGAGCTGTCCTTGCAAATATGGTGGTTATGTTAGGCAAATCAAAGTCTGAATTCCATTATACTCAAGTTGTTTGATTTGTTTAGTTTTAAAAGCTTTTCTATCAATTTGATGAACAAGGTTCCTATTTCTTTTTCCATAAATGTAACACTTCTCCACAGCAGTTCATTTTTCATTGGTTTTTATTTCACATCTTTCCTGTCCATCCCACTGGACAAGCAACTCAGTTTACTTTTGCTTTACTTTTAAAACTCACAGCAGTATTATAAGTCATATAAAAATTTCAAGCTTTTTTGTTACAGAAACTGTTCTTCCATCAGTGCAGACCATTTGAGATTTTCTTAGAAATCAAACTTAATTAAATAAACATAACAGCAATTTGTCTGACACACACTTGTTCAAGTATTAACATTTCTCCTCAGGGAACTAAGGGGCAACCAACCTATTCTTCATTCACCTTCAAGTTAAACAACTTCGTTACAAAACAAAACAAAAAAGGAGGGAATTAATAGCAAAAATAGAAGGCATTTCTTATATTCCAGTCAGTGTGCAAGCAAAATCACTGGAGCAAATCATAAGTTGCTGGAAGAGAACAATAAGTACTTCAAGGCCATAATGTGCTACTTGCCCTCTGTGATAAGCAAACTTTAGTGGCATCCAATCTAAGTTTATATCACAGGTCAATCAAAATCTTGCCTAACCATTAGCCGTTACTCACACATATATATGTATATGTATTATAGTTATTAGTGCCAGAAATCTAGTGACCAAAACCACTAATCTAGGACCGTGAACGATTCTACGCAAACTCACCAGAAGAAATTATGGATCAATAAAATCAATGAAATTAAAATTTTGACTGCAGAGTCAACTGAAACAATTTCATATTCATGAGACTGTTAAGAACATAAACGCGGGGTTACCTTTTGCCTCCTTTTACAGCAAAAGGCTTTATCTTTGTGCTCAAAGTATGGAACAGTTTACATACTTTACTCATTTATGAAATATACTGATCTCCAAATGTCTTCATAAAATTGGTAAACACAGAATAAAGTCAATTGTTTATTTTCCTATAGCCAAACGTGTCCTGTCTGAAACATTCAAGCCATTCTACAATACATTTAAGAATTGTGTTGGACACTGCTAATAGCTATTTTCCAGCCTTCCTTCCACACGCACCTTCTATTGCCAAAATACTGTAGTAAGGTGGGATATTATTGAAAGAGGTTATAGACATTCAAAAGGAAATGAGAATTTATAGATGAATTTATACAGCACCTACATACCAACAAACGCACTACTGCTACATCAAATTTGTAAATCTTCCTTTTAAAACTGAAAGGTGTTAGTTGATCTGCAATGGTGTAACTTTAAAAAGCACAGTAAACCCATGAATGCCTATATAAAGCCTCAACAATTCAGTCCACTGCAACACCACAAATTCAAAGGAAATGTGGTCAAGTTCTTAGGGGCACAAAAATATTTTCGCTCAGTTAAAAAAAAAATGCCCTAGTAATAATATACTCTCAGTTAATTACCTGAAGTTTCATGGCATATATTTAGGTCTTTGGAAACTTAAACACACACACACAATTTTTAAGTAGCAGCGCTGCTAATGGTTTTAGACGCTGAAGCATGTGCATTCCTGAATTTACCCCGTTTAACAAAAAGGGGGACGCGAATATTCACGATGATCAACTTCTTCAATGCACTGCTGGGCCATGTTAGGGTCTTCCTGAAACTTTTGGATCTAAAATCTCCTCCGAAATCCACAAAGAGAAGCCACTAAAAATCAGTTGCCATTGTGATTTGGTGCCGACTACCGCTTCTTACTACTCTTTCTTCACAGCCCTCGCCCAGAACAGTGGAGCTCTCCGAAGTCCCAATGCTAGACCGGAAAAGAGAAGCCAAAGGAGACCTGAAGCCCTCTTGGCGCTGCAGGAGGCGGCCCGGCTGAAGCGCCCCCCGCTCCTCCACAACTACCCACACGACAGGCCCGGATCCCGCTGGGAGATGATGTTTAGGAAAGGGGGAATAAGCCATCGCCGTCACTTAGCGCCGATTTCGGCCCTTCCCGCCCGGCTCTAGTACCTGCCGCCGGCCCTCGCCCATCCCCAGCTCACCCCGGCGGGGCTCGGCGCCGAAAGAGAACCCTCTCCTCGCTGGTCTCTCATTTCGATAGGCGCTAGGGCCTCTCGGAGTCGGAGAGGGGCTTCCAACAGGCCCCAAGTCCAGTCCTTCCCTCCCAACAACATCCCGCCGAGCGTGCCCTGGCACCCAGGCGCGGTGCTCGGGAAGAGGGCCCCGGGCCTGCCTCCCGCCGACACCAAGAAGAAAAGGGAGGGAAGGAAGGGCGAAGATGGGGCCTGCCCTAGAGCCAAGTACCTTGTAGAAAGCGCCATTGGAGCCCCGCACTTCCACCACCAGCTCCTCCATCTTCTCTTCAGCCCTGCTAGCGCCGGGAGCCCGCCCCCGAGAGGTGGGCTGCGGGCGCTCGAGGCCCAGCCGCCGCCGCCGCCGCCGCCGCCGCCGCCTCCGCCGCCGCCGCCGCCGCCGCCGCCGCCGCGCTGCCGCACGCCCCCTGGCAGCGGCGCCTCCGTCACCGCCGCCGCCCGCGCTCGCCGTCGGCCCGCCGCCCGCTCAGAGGCGGCCCTCCACCGGAAGTGAAACCGAAACGGAGCTGAGCGCCTGACTGAGGCCGAACCCCCGGCCCGCTGCGGGTGTAAACACTGAAACCACGTCACGTGATCAACGCTGTTCCCTCCCCCCGCGGGCTCAGCCCCTCGGCCCCGCCCTCTCTCTTCAAGTGGCCTGGGAGCGCGCGCATGCGCGCTGCTGGGAACCGGCCGGGGTGCCGGGTCGAAAGACAGACGCGCGGGCCGGGCGTGCGCGGGCTTGGTGGAGGGCGGGAAGGCTGAAGGGCGGTGACAGGTCGCACTGCCTCGCGAGGGCCAGAACGCCCATTTCTGCAGAGGTGCACTCAGTGGCGTGGGAAATCAAATGCATCCGGTTATCCCAGTTCGGCCTCTCTGGGATTCCGCGGGAGGGGGTGTCTGGTCTGGTTTGGTTTGGTTTGGTTTGGTTTGGTTTGGTCCGGTTCAAAGTAGCGCAGTCTGACTGAGCGGGAGGTGGAGTGGAAGGCGAGAATAGGGGTGAAGGATTAGACAGAAGAAGACTTTGAACTAGGAACAGTGGCAACCAGGGTGACCCAGGCTTTTGTGACCCGTAGAGGCAGAAGGTGAGGCGTCTACGCCCTCTCTCACCAGATTTTGGGCGGCCCTGTGGAGACACCCTGTGCCCTTTAAGGGACATGGATTGAGTCGGGATCTCAAAATGTGAGCCTTTCCTCAGACCCAGCTTTGACCCACGTACTCGCCTTTCCTCAACTCATTTTCATACTTTCACTTGACTATATATTTTTTAAAAATTGTGTTAAGCACTTGAGGTTCATTTCTGCCCCTACTGTATGTGCACCCTGTGCCAGAGGGTGGGGTGAACACGTGTGTAGCAGTCATGCGTCCTGTCCACAGGGGCCGATGCACCTCCTTGCAACCCTTTACATTCCACTGTGAAACAAACCTCAACTTTTTCTTATTCCTGTTTTTACACCGTGCTTATAGCTGCCTTAATCCATGTTCCCTTCGGGATGCTGGTATCCAACTGAGAAGTTGACGGAGCATCTATCGTGTGCCAGACACTGTGCTAAGTGCTAACGAGAAATCGGTGAGCAAAACAGAAAAGAAAAAAAAAGAAGAAACGACTGCCAGCATTGAACTTAGTACCTAGCAAAGTAGGTGGACATAAATCAAATTGTCAGACAAGTAAATGAGTAGTTGCAGCTGTGATAAGGGGTATGAAGAATAGGCGCTTCCATGATGGCGGAACATGACCTAGTCTGGGGTGGAGAAGGGGAGATGATTCCAGCTGGAATATGGCAGGTGAGAGTTAACTAATAGCACTGAGTTGGCAGAGGCAGGATGACCTGCCCCAGGCAGGTGCCCCAGAATGAGAGGATGTTGCTGCTGGTGGAACTCCAGCTTTAAAGCGGTGGATCTAGGGCCACATTCCTCAAGGCCATAGCAAACAGGAAAGACCTTTTGGACTAGGGTCTTTGGAGTAGTCACATGAGGCCAAGAACCCAATAGGGCTGAAAGAGAATCTCATCATAGGCTGAATGGGAGCAGAGCATTAGCTGCAACTCCAATGTATTATAGTAAAAGGGGACACATTGATTAGAATGATTATACCCCTCCAAGTGTAAGCTGTTGTTCAATTTACCCAGGGCTTAAAAATATGTCAACTCTTCACAACCATTTTTACTACAAGCCACACTCAACCTGTGTTGTTCCCTGAACCTGTGATGCACTTTCATCCGTTCATGTCTCTACACATCCTTCCTGGGCCCCATAGAGGCCCTGCACCTTAAGGTTTTCAGCTGGATTCCTATTAGCTAGTTATTTTATCTCAGGTACAGAGAGTTAACTTTGCTCCTCAATTTTCAGCACATTGTCATATCAGTCCCTACAGGGTCCTTGTTTACATTATTTTATAGTGTTTATATTATTTTTTCCTCATCTTTCTCGATCCCCACTCTCATTCTTCTAGACACAAGCTGCAATATGTTCGATAGAGATCCTTGATAATTTAACACAGATAATGTTTTGTTTATGCCTCTTGCATTTACAGAGATGGTATTGGACTGTAAATCTCTATTTCCCACTGTTTTACTCAACAGTCTGTTTTTGAGCTATACCCACATTGCTGTGTGTACACCTAGTTTGCTACCGAGTATGCCAGAAATTTTATTCATACATATCCCTACTGATCGGGCATCTAGGTTACTGCCAACTCCCTGAAGTCATACTGTGGTGAAAACCCTTGTGAATGTCTTTACAAACCTTTGCCAGAACTTATTTTGTGCTCTTGTAGAACTTTGTGCATACCCTCTGCTTCCTCATTACACTGCTTGGCATATAGCAGAGACTCAACAAATGTTGAATACCTCTACTATGATGGTTAGTGTACTAGAATAATTTATTTATATTTCTGTTTTCCTTATTGGATTATTAGTACCTTCCAGACAGGGCAAATGTCTTTTCTATCTTTGTGTCCCTGGCACATTAAAAGTGGTTGATTTCAAGGTATGTTCAATGAATGAATAAATACTTATCTTCACTGCCAGTACATACTGCAACTTAGTCTTCCCCACTTGACTCTGAGTCTCAGCCTTACTCTGATCTCTAGCTTTTGATATTTCCCCTTTCAAGATAGCTTACCTGAATTCAGACACTGAGCTCAGGCCTGATCATGAGCCTGCTCTTCCAAAGTCCTCTCTCTCTCTCTCTCTTTCTCTCCTGTCTCTCGTTACAGGCAGCTCCTGCCTTCCAGTTCGTTGCTCAAGCCTAAAACTGAGACATTTTGACCCTCTTTCACACATCAGATCCATCAGCAAATCATTGTAGAATCCAGACTCTGTTTCTGATCATTTGCTCAGCTAAAACCATAGTCCAAGCTTCCATTCTCTTACCTGCATTATGGCAGCAACTTCTTCGCTGGTATCCCTGCAGTCACTGTCCACTGTTGTACCCTCTCTGACAGTTCTCAGCACAGAAGACAGAATGACCCTGTTGAGGTGTCAATCAAGTCACTCTGCCACTCACAATCCCCCAGTGACTCCCTACATCTCTCAGAGTAAAAGCCAGAGTCATTATTTATTCTGGCTTCAGTGCCCTATATACTCTGACTTCTGTTATCTCCGCTATCTCACCTTCTACTTTCCCCCTTCACTTCATTCCAGTGCATGAAATCTATCTAGTTCACCTAGATTTTCTCCTATGTTATCTTTCAGAAGTTTTACAGTTTTGTGTTTTGCATTTAGGTCTATGATCCATTTTGAGTAAATTTTTTTCAAAAGATATAAGGTCTGTATCTAGATTATTTTTTGCATATGAATGTCCAGTTATTCCAGCACTGTTTATTGAAAAGGCCATTGTTTCTCATTCCAGCCATAATGTTTTCTTTGTTGTTTCTTGAAAATAGCAGACAGGTTCTGTCTCTCTCCCCTCACTAGAGTGTAAGCTCAGTGAGAACAAAGATTTCCATTTGTTTTATTCACTGCTTGTCCCCAGTGCCTACCACAGTGTCTGGAACATAGTGAATGTTTACTAAATATTACATGAATGAACGAATATGTGTTGAGGACCCGGCCGAGGTTGAGTCAGCTCTCATGCCTATATTTATCTGATATTGGAATGATGCTTCAGTGTTTCTAGCCCTGCCTTGGCCCTTGGTTTCCATTAAATTGCTGCCTGTTGTCTTTGCATTGATTTATTCTGTGCTATTTCCTGCTCCTTCGCAATTTGAGCCCTCTGAGTCTTTTCCATGGCTCAAACCCAGCTGAAATGCCTTCTGCCCTTTCCGACTCTCAAATCTTATGTACCCTTCAGGACCCAGCTAAAGTCACACTTCTTTCTTGACACTTTCTCTGACAATTTCCTTTAACCATGACCTCTCATTCAAATGAGATATTAGAAAAAGAATAATTAATTGGCTTTATTTTTTAGAACAGTTTTACATTTATGGAAAAATTAAGCAGATAGTGGAGAGAGTTTCTATGTACTTCCTAATCTCCCTCCTCCCCTACAGTTCCTCCTGTTATTAACATCTTGCATTCGCATTGTACATTTATTACAACTGATGCATTATTACTAACTAAAGTCTATAGTTTACATTAAGATTCACTCTTTGTGTTGCATAGCTCTGTGGGTTTTGAAAAAAGCATAACATATCCACCATTACAGTGTCAGCAGAACAATTACACTGCATTAAAAAATTCCTTGTGTTCCACCTATTCATCTGGTCTACCTGCAACCAACCCTTGGCAATCACTGATGTTTTTACTTTCTGCAGAATTTTGCCTTTTCCGTAATGTCATAGAGTTGGAATCATATAGTATGTAGTCTTTTCATACTGCTTTTTTTTTTTTACTTAGCAATATACATTTAACATTCCTCTGTGTCTTTTCATGGCTTGATAGTTTATTTTCTTTTATTGTGCACAGTATTCCACTGTATGTATATACCATGGTTTGTTTATCCATTTATTTATTGAAAGACATCTTGGTTGCTTTCAGTCTTTTAAAATTATGAATAAGGCTCCTGTAAACTTTCTTGTACAGATTTTTGTATGGACATAAGTTTTCAACTCATTTAGGTAAATACCAAGGAGCATGATTGCTGGATCATATGGTAAGACTATGTTTTGCTTTATCAAAAATTACCAGATGATCTTCCAAAGTGGCTGTAACAGTTTGCATTTTCACCAGCAATGAGTGAGACTTCCTGTTACTCCACATCCTTGCCAACATTTGGTGTTGCCAGTATTTTGAATTTTGGGTATTTTAATAGGTGCATAGTAGAATCTTATTGTTTTAGTTTGCAATTTCCTAATGACATATGGCATTGGGCATCTTATGCTTGTTTGTCACGTATGTATCTTCTTTGATAAGGTGTCTGCTCAGATCTGTTACCCATTGGGTTTTTTTTATTGATGATTTTTCAGTGTTCTTTATATATTTTAGATATCAGCCCTTTATCAGATTATGTATTTTGCAGATATTTTCTCCCAGACAGTGGCTTGTCTTTTCATTCATTTAACAATGTCTTTCATTGAGCAGACATTTGTAATGAAAAAATTTCGACTGTTCAGTTTTTTTCAGGGATCGTGCTTTTAGCATTGTACCCAAAAAGTCATCACCAAACACAAGTTCACCTAGATTTTCTCCTATGTTATCTTCCAGAAGTTTTACAGTTTTGTGTTTTGCATTTAGGTCTATGATCCATTTTGAGTAAATTTTTGTGAAAGATATAAGGTCTGTGTCTAGATTGTTTTTTGCATATGAATGTCCAGTTATTCCAGCACCGTTTGTTGAAAAGACCATTGTTTCTCCATTGAATTATTTGCTCCTTTGTCAATGATCAGTTGACTGTATTTGTATGGATCTAATTCTGGCATCTTTATTTTGTTCCATTTATCTACAGTTGGCCCTCTGTATCCATGGGTTCTGCATCAACAGATTCAACCAATGACAGATCAAAAATATTCTTTAAAAATCCCCTAAAAATGGCCAGGAGGGGTGGCTCATGCCTGTAATTTTGGTACTTTGGGAGGCCAAGGTGGGGGGATTATCAGGTCAGGAGTTCGAGACCGGCCTGGCCAACATAGTGAAGCCCCGTCTCTACTAAAAATACAAAAAATTAGCTGAGCATGGTGGCGGGCACCTGTAATCCAAGCTGCTCAGGAAGGTGAGGCAGGAGAATCACTTGAACCCAGGAGGCAGAGGTTGCACTGAGCCAAGACCGCACCACTGCACTCCAGCCCTGACGACAGTGCAAGACTCAGTCTCAAAAAGAAAATCCCCTAAAAATAACAATATAACAATAAAAATAATACAAATAAAAAATCAATAAAGTATAACTGTTACATAGCATTTACATTGTGTTAGGTATTATATATAATCTAGAGATGATTTAAAGTATACAGGAGGAGGATGTGCATAGGTTATATGCAAACACTACGTCGTATTATATAAGAAACTTGAGAATCCACAGGTTTTGGTATCCTCAGACATCCTGCAACCAGTTCCCCCCATGATACTGAGGAACAACAGTATTTCTCTTTTCTTTCATCAATACCCTACTGTCTTGACTACTGTAACTTTGTAATAAGCTTTGAAGTAAGATAGTGTCTGTCTTCCAACTTTGTTCTTCCTCAATATTATACTGCCTATTCTGGATCTTCTGTCTTTCCATATAGACTTTACAGTCAGTTTGTCAATATTCACAAAATAACTTGCTAGGATTTTGATTCAGACAGCATTGAATCTATAGATCAAGTAGGGAAGAAGTGACAGTTTAACAACATTAGTCTTGCTATTTATGAACATGGGATATTTCTCAATTTATTTAGATTTTTCATTTCTTTCATAAGGTGTTGAACTAGATTCTGTACATATTTTATTAGATTTATACCTAAATATTTTGTTTTTCAGTGCTGGTTTGAATGGTATGTTTTTAATTTCAAATTCCAATTGTTCATTGCTGATATATAAATTTCCCTCTCATCACTGCTTTTGCTGCATCCCATAAATTTTAAAAAGTTTATTTTTTCATTTAGTTCAAAATATTTTTAATATCTCTTGAAACATCTTCTTTGATCCATATATTATTTAGAAGTGTGTTGTTTAATCTCCAAATATTTGAGGGCATTGCCTAGCATATTTCTAGGTTTCTAAAAATATCTAGTTTAATTTTATTGTAATCTGTGAAAATATCTTGTTTGATTTCTGTTTTTTTAATTTTTAAGGTGAATTTTATGAAACAGAATGTGGTCTATCTTGATTAATGTTCCATGTGAACATGAAAGAAATGTGTATTCTGTCTCTGTTGGATCAAATAGTCTATAAATATCAGGCCAGGCACAGTGGCTGATGCCTGTAATCCCAGTACTTTGCAAGGCTAAGGTGGGAGGATCACTTGAGGCCAGAAGTTCGAGACCAGCCTGGCCAACATAGTGAAATGCCGACTCTACTAAAAATGCAAAAAATTAGCTGGGTGTGGTGGTGCATGCCTGTAATCCCAGCTACTCAGGAGGCTGAGGCATGATGAGAGTCACTTGAAGCTGGGAGGCAGAGGTTGCAGTGAGCAGAGATTGCCCACTGCACTCCAAGCCTGAGTGACAGAGTGAGACTGACACACACATACACACACACACACACACACACACACAATAAAGTCTATAGATGTTGATTAGATCAAGTTGATCGATAAGGATGTTCAGCATCAACTATATCCTTACTGATGTTTTTGGCTATATCTGTAAATTACTGACAGAGAGGTGTTGAAGTCTCCAAATATGACAGTGCATTTGTCTGTTTCTCTTTGCAGCTCTGTCTGCTTTTGCCTCATATGTTTTGACACTGTTGCTAGATGGATATACAATAAGGAATTTTATGTTTTCTTGCAGAATTAACACCTTTATCGGTATGTAATGCCCCTCTTTATTCCTGATAATGTCCTTGCCCTGAAGTTTGCTTTGTCTGAAATTAATATAGCTACTTCAGCTTTCTTTTGATTAGTGTTAGCATGGTATATCTTTTTCTATCCCTTTACTTTTAATCTAGGTATATCTTTATGTTTAAATTGGGCTTCTTGCAGACAATACATAATTGGGTCTTTTAAAATAATTCATTCTGACATTATTCATTTTTTAATTTATGTATTTAGACCATTCACATTTAAATTGATTATGATAATAATATAGTTAGATTCATATATACCATGTTTTAACTGTTTTCCATTTATTTCACTTGTTCTTGGTTTCTTTTTTAACTTTTCCTCTTTTACTGCCTTCTCTGGTTTTAATTGAGCATTTTATATTATTCTCTAATAAAAGAGATCTTAGATATTGATTATACTTTTAAAAATGTAGTAGTTTCCCTAGAATTTGCAGTATATATTTATATCTAATTAAGTCCACTTTCAAATAACACTATAGTGCTTCATGGGTAGTACAGGTACCTTATTACAGAGTATTCCCAATTCCTCCGTTATGTCCCTTAAAATTTTGCTATTATTCACTTCACTTATCCGTATACTATAATCACCCAAAACATAATTATTTTGAAAAAATAGTTATATTTATTAGATCAATTAAGGTTAAGGAACATTAAAGAGTTTATTTTATGCTCATTTATTCCTTCTTGAAAGCTCTTTTCTTTATGTAGATTTCAGTTTTTGACCTATGTCATTTCATTTCTGTCCGAAAAATTTCTTTTAACATTTATTTCAAGGCAGGTCTACTGGTGACAGATTCAGCCTTTGTCTGAGAAAGCATTTCTTCTTTGCTTTTGAAGGATAATTTCACTGTATCCAGAATTCTAGTTTTATCCTTTCAACACTTTAAACATTTCACGCTACCTTCTTCTTTCTTGCATGGTTGCCAATGAGATTTCTGATGTAATTCTTATCTTTGTCCCTCCTTAGGTAAATTTCTCCTCTTCTGTAGCTTCTTTCATGTTTTCTGGTTGTTTTAGTTTTCTGTGATTTGAACATAATATGACTAGGTGTGGACTTTTTTTTTTTTAAATTTTATCCTGCTTGGTGTCTTTTAAGCCTCCTGGATGTGTGGTTTGGTGTCTGTCACTGATTTTGGAAAATTATCAGCCTTTATTATTTCATATATTTCTTCTGCTTCTTTCTCTCCTACTTCTAGTATTCTCATATAAGCATATTATACCTTTAGTAATTGTCTACAGTTCCTGGATATTTTGTTTCTTTTTTTATATCTAATTTTTGCATTTCAGTTTGGGAAATGTTAAAAGAAAAACTTCATGCAAATTAAATTTAAAGGAGTTTAATTGAGCAATGAACGATTGGTGAATCGGGCAGCTCCCAAAATCACAGCAAATTCACAGAGACTCCAGTGCAGCCATGTGATGGAAGAAGATTTATAGACAAAAAAAGGAAATGACATACAGAAATCAGAAGTCAAGTACAGAAACAACTGGATTGGTTACAGCTTGGTGTTAGCTTTATTTAAACAGGGTTCAAACAGTTGGCTACATTTGATTAGTCAAAATTCAGTCATTGGCACAGGTGCGGGCTATGGTTGGTTTATACCTCCACTTGTTATAGTTCAAGATGTGCAGAAAAACCTTTAGGCCGAACTTAAATATGTAAGGAGGCAACTTTAGGATAAACTTGATTAACAGAAGTTTCTATTAACATATCTTCAATCTCATTGGTTCTTTCCGCTGATTCTTCCCGCAGCTGTTTCCAGTCTACTGGTGAGCCCATCAAAGGTATTTGTGTTTCCGTAACAGTTGTTTTTTTAAAAATTTCTATCATTTTTACAATTCTTTCTTGGAGATTTTCTTTCTCTCTCTCTGCTTACATTACCCATTTGTTCTTACATGTTGTCTACTTTTTCCATTAGTGCTCTAAACATATTAATTATAATTATTTTAAATTTACTTTCTGATAATTCTAAAATCACTGTTATATTTAAGTCTGGTTCCTTTGCTCGCTTTATCTTTACAGACTGTGTTTTTTCTTGCCTTTCTGCATTCCTTGCAATTTTTTGTTGAAAGTCAGGTATAATGTATTGGGTAATAGGAACTGAGGTAATTAGGTTTTAGTTTGACTTTTTATGTTAATCAGTTAGGAGTTGGGGTGTTTAATGTTTGCTGTAGCTGTAGGTGCCAGATGCTTTAGTTCAGTATCTTTGTTTTTGTCTCCTTTGCTGTCTTTGCGTTTCCCTATCAACTTCTTCTTAAATGGTCTGGGTTTCTCAGCTCTCCCATTGTAATCTATTGCTATTATACTGGAGCACTGTTGATGCAGTGGCATGGTGTTAGGGAAGGGAAATGTTCTATAATTTTATGATTAAATTTCAGATTTTTAGTTGAGTTCCTGGGCTGTAATCTTCAGAATTATTTCTTAGCTTTTTTTCTCCCTTTAGATGAGATAAGAAGGCTAAAAAGGACTAGCACTGGCTAATAATCCCTTCCTAGGTCAGGAATGGTTCTGGAAAGGTAGTTTCCCTCGTAGGGCAAGCATTTGTTACAAAGAATATACTGAATATATTTCAAAGTGGTTGCTTCCTGCTCCTCCTTCAGGAAACAGGAAGCAGAAATTCTCTGATATATACTGTCAGAAACTGGTGGGGTTCCTGAAGGCAAAAGCCATGAAAGTGTAGCCTTTGCCTCCGATTTGTCCCCTAGGAATTTTCAACTTTCAAACTAGCCCACACCCAGCCTCAAGCAATTCACCAAAACCACCACTTAAGTTTTCCTACCTAATTGGCTCCAGTGGCTGCTGCTTCAGGAAATCTAAGTTCTGCTCTGATTCTCTGTATTCACCTATCGCTCCAAATTTGGTGCTGGCAGGTTGCCCTGGGGCCTTAAATCTCTTGGTCTAAGATAAGTCATTGCTTTTCTGTTTGTTCAATGTTTTGTTGTTGTTGAAAGGAGTGCCAGTTTCCAAGCTCTGTACATGTCAGAGCTCAATATTAGACATTTGCGTTGGAATTTCTTTCTTGGCTTGGAGTCGAGTGTCAGGACTGATATTCATAGCCCAAACATCACCAAGAAGCCGGTACAAGTAGAAGTATTGACCCTCAAGGTCATTTTAGTATTGATTTCATTATGAGATAATCACATTATTTTCTCTTTATCCATTGAGAATAAATAGCATGCAATCTGTCACAGTCACTGGTTTGGCTAACTTGACTTCCATGCCCAGCCTTATTTTCTCTTGCCTGCCTCTAACCTAGAGAGTGGAAAACCTAAATATGCAAGTTTCCAGCCAACCCTGAAACCATAGTGGCCACGTGACTATTTTTGTTTTTTTGCAAATGTGATCTAAACATAAGTTTACAGGGAAGTTTCTAGAAAAGCTTTTGCTTTTTTGAGAAAAGGGGACAAATTTGGCTGATGTTTTATCTTCTTTTGTAATGCCTGCCTTGGTTATGGATGTGACACCTAAAGTTAGGGAAACCTTGAGGCTGCGGTTAAGAGAATCGCAAGCTATCCTCCCACCTCAGCCTCTTGAGTAGCTGGGACTACAGGTGTTCGTCACCACACCCAACTAATTTTGTATTTTTCTGTAGAGCCGGGGTTTCACCATGTTGCCCAAGCTGGTCTCGAACTCCTGAGCTCAAGCGATCCACTCGCCTTGGCCTCCCAAAGTGCTGGGATTACAGGCATGAGCCACTGTGTCCAGCCACCACCAGACTTATGTGAGAAAAATAAACCTCTGTTTGATTAGGTGTTGCTAAAGTGGCTTTTCAATAACTTGCAGCCATATGCATTTCTGATAGAGCACCTAACCTATATGGAATCTGAGGTACAAAACCAAACAACCAGACTAATAGATAACAACTATGAGGAGCAGGAGTCAACTTGGCTACAATGAGTCATGTTGAGGCCCACCCATTCAAAGAACTAAAGCAAAGATCAGTCTCAACATTGTTGAAATTCCAAGTACTAAAGTTTTGCTGGTTGCCATTTGTTATGCACATATGTCACATGAAATGTGGAGGGGATGTTGTCTCTGTAAACTCAAAGTGCCAGTTTCATTCCTGTAATCCCAGTGGGAGGCCAAGTTGAGAAGATTGCTTGAGGCCAGGAGTTTGAGCCAAGCCTGGACAACATAGTGAGACTTCCCCCCCGCACCCCCCACCACTCTACAAGAAAGTAAGAAAATTAGCCTGGCATGGTGGTGCATGCCTATAGTCTCAGTTACTTAGGAGGCTGAGGTTGGAGGATCACTTCTGGCCAGGAGTTTGAGGCTACAGTGAGCTACGATCAGGCCACTGCACCCCAGCTTGGGCAACAAAATAAGACTCCGTCTCTAAAAAAAGTTTAAGAAAGGAAAAAAAAAAAAGGAAAAAGCATTAAACCAAGGCGTCAGTGACCAGTAGCATGAGAAAATGGCAATTTTTAAGGAGGTGGGAGCCTTAGTAGTTTCCCTGAGCTGCACAGATGGATCTGAGAAATAAAAGTAAAATTCTAAGCCTTCATCTGAATGAACAGAGCCCCTCTTGGCCAGGGGAACTGCAGAGAAACCTTGAAAGCTGAATTCATGGCCATGACAGGATGAGAGATTGGACACGCCTCATTATACTCCCTCCCTCGCTAACAGTCATAGGTTTTATTCCCTAAGGGCTAAACAGAAACCAGCCCTTTCAAAAGACTACTAGATTATTGTCCCAGGTACAGAACAAAGACAAAATGAGATTAATCATTTATTTACCTCTCCCCAAGAAATTTGCTTTCTCCATTCCCTTTTTCTTCAAATGTTCACCTTGTTTTATGTAAGTGTGGATTTACTGGCCACTAAAGTCTCACAAATATATAATTATTTGTCTCACTACCACCCCTCATTTTTAAGGAAAATGTGTAAATACTAAACCTCCTGTTCACCTCTTTGGGAAAAAAACAGCCACAGATGCTTCTGTGACTCACATTTTTCCTGGTGCACCCTCAAGCTGGCTCAATAAACCTTGATGTTTTGAGACTTACAGCACAATCACTCATTTTGGTTATCAGATCCAAACAAAGGATAGATTTCTAAGGTTTTTATGAATTAGGAATGAGGCTCTTCTTTAACCAGTCTTCTTGGGCAAGTTACTTGATCTCTCTATGCTTCAGTTTCCTTATCCATAAAATGGGGATAATAAAAGCATGCATCTCATTGGAGGTGTGGGCATCAAATGAGATAATCTATGTAAATAACTCAACCAGTGTCTGCACACATTAAATGTCTTTTCAACGATGTTAAAACTGAATTGTGGACCTAGCCCTTTGCATGTATTGCCCTCATCATCCACAAACCCACACAGAATTTTGCCTCTGAGGAGCAGCACTCATGACTAGTTTGTTCTCATATCAAGGAGTGCTTTAAGAGAGCTCTTAATATTGAAGCAGAGAAATATTTCTAAGCTGCAATGGACCTTGGCTTGTGCATTAATTTGGGCTCAATGAGCTGCCAAAGTTAAGTGAACTTTTACTTGAAGGGCAGTAAACAATGTCTTTCAGAAGTGTGACTCTGTTTAGAGAGAATAGTGTTTAGAATTTTTCCAGGAGTTGATTAAGCTGGGAGGTCTGTATGTTTCTTTTGAAATATTGAAATGTGGAATATTGTCTGTCTCTAATCTCCTGACATCTTTCTCAGAGATTATTTAAGGTAGTTACTAACTGTCACTGTCTACTGCACTTACTGGGTCAGTACATGTCACAAGTGTGGCTCTGTTTATTGATCTGGTTACATTTGACTATATATCACTTAAATCTGAAAAATATTGACTTAAACAAGTAAAGGGTTTATTTTATTTTATTTCATTTTTTCTTTTTATGTAACAAGAAGTCTGGAGACAGGCAGTCAGGATGTAGTCTGGTGGCGCCTTCTTCTTCCCACTAATCCTCCTTGAAATTCCCATGCTGGGAAGTTGACTGCTCCTTCTCTAGACCATGAGTTTACATTTTATGCAGGAAAAAGGGTTTAAGAACATAGTGCAAAAGGCACATGCCAGCTGCTCCTTTAAAAAATAATAATCAGGAAAATACTTGCTCTCCCTGCATTGAGAAATCTACATTCAGTAGATTTCTGCTTACATCTCATTGGCTAGGACCATGTTACCTGACCACACATAGCTACAAGGAAGCCTGAGGATTGTAGCCAGACACCTTGCTGTCCTAAACAGAACTGCATTTCTTTTGGAAGAAGAGGATGATGGTGTTGGGCGTGCAGCTTGCTGTGAGTGCTGCACCCTTCATCCCATTACTCAAAATGGCAAACTAGTTGATGGAGCAGAGGATATGGCTTAAGTGTAGAGATGTTTGCTCCAAGCCTGTATGAAAAAGTTGCCTGTTTTAAATAAGTAAAGGAAAATCCAACCTCAGTAGCATAATCCATGATTATATTATGAGGCAACATTTTAGATTTTTCTTGCTCCTCTCTGTTGACAAATATGCCTTTTTAGAATTATTGGGAAATAACATTTTTCATAAATTGTAGTACCTTGGCAGAGAAGGCCTCAGATCCTTCCTGTCAAACTGACATAAAAATATCCTAACCATAGCCTGGGCCACATGGGGAGACATCATCTGTACCAAAAAAAAAAAAAAAAATTGCCAGGCATAGTGGTATGTGCCTTTAGTCCCAGCTACTCAGGAGGCTGAGGTGGGAGGATCACCTGAGACCGGGAGGCAGAGGTTCCAGTGAGCCAAGATTGTACCACTGTACTCCCACCTGAGCAACAGAGCAAGACCCTGTCTCCAAAAAAAAAAAAAAAAAAAAAATTCCAATCATTTAAAAATTAAAGTGAGAAGACTGAGAAATGTCAATAGACCAAAGGAGACTAAAAAGACATATTGAGAAAACACAATGTGGTATCCTGGATTAGATCCTGGAAGAGAAAAAGGAAGGTAGTGAAAAAATGAGCAAAATCTGAAAAAAGTCTGCAGTTTAGTTAATAGTAACATACAGATGTTGCTTTCTTAGTTGTGACAAGTGTAACATGCTAATGAGAGGTGACAACGTGCTAGCAGCCCTCATTTGCTCTCGGAGCCTCCTCGGCCTCCGCGTCTGCTCTGGCCGCACTCGAGGAGCCCTTCAGCCCGCCGCTGTGCTGTGGGGGCCTCTCTCTGGGGCTGGCCGAGGCCGGAGTTGACTCCCTCTGCTCATGGGGAGGTGTGGAGGGAGAGGTGCTGGCGGGAGCCCGGGCTTCACGCGCGCTCGTGGGCCAGTGCGGGTTCCGGGTGGGTGCGGGCTCAGCGGCCCCACACTGGGTGCAGCTGGCTGGCGCCTGTTGGGCTTGATCGGAGGCTGGGTCCCGTGCGTGGACTTCCGTTACCTCTTTGCCGGCTCATTGGCCACCATGGCGGGTCTCCGTCTCTTTGTCGTTTCCCGTTTTTTCCTCTAGGTTGTCTGGGAGGAGCTCCATCTGGGCTGCCAGAGTGCCTGGGCTAGGTACTCCAAAGTCCCCTGGCGAGTGCCAGTAAGAGGTAAAGCCTGCTGGGCTTCTGGGACAGGTGGGGACTTGGAGAACTTTTCTAACTAAAGGTTTTTAAATGCACCAATCAGTACTCTGTGTCTAGCTAAAGGTTTGTAAATGCACCAATCAGCGCTCTGTGTCTAGCTAATCGGCTGGGGATTTGGAGAACTTTTGTGTCTAGCTAAAGGATTGTAAATGCACCAATCAGCACTCTGTGTCTAACTAAAGGTTTGTAAACGTGCCAATCAGCAGTCTATCAAAACGGACCAATCAGCTCTCTGTAAAACGGACCAATCAGCTCTCAGTAAAATGGACCAATCAGCAGGATGTGGGTGGGGCCAGATAAGGGAATTAAAAGCAGGCCACCCCAGCCAGCAGCGGTAACCCACTCCCATTCCCTTCAATGTTGTAGGAGCTTTGTTCTTTTGTTCTTCGAAAGAAATCTTGCTGCTAGTCTCTCTTTGGGTCTGTGCTGTCTTTATGAGCTGTAACACTCACCATGAAGGTCTGCAGCTTCTTTCCTGAAACCACCGAGACCACAAACCCACCAGGAGGAACTAACAACTCCGGACTCACCGCCCTTTAGAGCTGTAATGCTCACTGCGAGGGTCTGCGGCTTCACTCCTGAAGTCGGCGAGACCACGAACCCACCAGAAGGAAAAAACTCCGGACACGTCCGAATATCAGAAGGAACAAACCCCGGACACACCATCTTTAAGAACTGTAACACTCACCGCGAGGGTCGGCAGCTTCATTCTTGAAGTCAGGGAGACCAAGAACCCACCAATTCCAGACACACTAATATAAAGTGTTAACATTAGGGGAAACTGGGTGAGGGGTGAAGCTTATATGAGAACTCTGTATCAGTTTTGTACCTTTTTTGTAAATTGAAAAATATTCTAAAATAAAAAGGAAAATAATTTTTCTTCCAACATTTCCTCATTATAAAAATTAAGGGCAGCTGAGCACAATGACTCACACCTACAATGCCAGCACTATGGGAGGCCAAGGCAGATGGATTGCTTGAGCCTAGGAGCTTGAGACGAGCCTGGGCAACATGATGAGACCCCCATCTGTACAACAAAATACAAAAATTAGCCAGGTGTGGTGGTGTGTGACTGTAGTCCCAGCTACTTGGGAGGCTGAAGTGGGAGGATCGATTGAGTTGGGGAGGTGGAGGTTGCCATGAGTGGAGATCCCACCACTGCACTCCAGCCTGAGTGATAGAACCAGACTCTGTCTCAAACAAATAAAAAACAGAAAAAAATTAAGGGAATGCTGGAGGAAAAATTATTACATGACAAAATAAGTATTTACATAGAAAAAACAGCAACTGTAATTTGAATGAATGAGATCCAAATGTACTAGTATGAGCCTAAGGTATTTTCACAGCTGGAATTTTGGCATGTCCGCAAAATTGCTGGTAGAATGATCTGCAATAAGTCTATTTTTTCATGAGGAATGGGAGGCCTATTAAGAAAGAATGTATAGAGAGATCAAGCAAATGTGGTTCAAGAACAGTGGCCTGCATGGACAGGAGGACTGATACTAAATATATTATCAGTTTTTCAGAATGCATCCTGGCTCCAGAACCCATGGCCTCCTGCTGGAGTTCTCCATGTAAAAGAACCAGTAAAAGCATTCATAAAGCTGGCACACTGAGGAGGCAAGGAATCGATTGCACTGGGACAAGATCTTTATTATTTTATTATTATTATTATCTATTTGTAGAGATGGGGTCCTGGTATGTTGCCCAAGCTGGTCTCAAACTCCTGGCCTCAAGCTATCCTCCTGCCTCAACCTCCTGAATTGGTAAGCTACATTTTAAACACACTATTATTATTCATGGAAACTGACCAACTAATTATTCAGAAGAAATTAATTCTTCAACATTAGCATTTGGAGCTGGGATGTTTTCAATAAGCCCAGATAGTTACTGAATATTTTTTCCCAAGGCCACAAGTCTTGGGAAAAGAATAGTTTGTTTGCTTTTCTTTTATTTTCTTTTTCTTAGACTTAAAATCTTGGCTTGAGGCTGTGGTATCTGAGCTGGCAAATGGAAAATTTGGACTGTCTAATAAAAGTTGGGAAAGTGCAGATTGTAAAAGATGCGAGGGGTTGTTAAGTGGACAGTATTATTGGACAGGAGGGAAATCTATAGTATTAACAGTTCAGTAGTAGTTCTGGCATTGGGCACACAGGACAGGAGTAAACTGAGCAAGGCATAGGAGATCCCGTGCCTCCCTATCACTGTCAGGTCACAATGAGCTCCTCCTGCATGAACAGCCAGAACCAACCACAATGAAGGATGCCATGAGTCAGGTAGGCAAAGGAAATCAGAAAGACCTGTGGAAGAAAAGCTGCACTGCCTAGCTTCAGAGCTCAAAGAGTCTGACTGCAGGCACAAGGAAAACATAGAATTAGAAAAAAACCTTTTCAGAAAGCAACTCTGCGGAGACAGGCTTGACTGAGCCCTGCCCCCAAGTTAAATTGCTGCTGAAAACAGGTGCTGATTGGACATGCAAACTGAGAACTGCTAGTATTACCAGCCAGAAGAAAATAGTTCATCTGAAGCAGTTAAATTCCTGAAGAATATATTACTGGCATCGGTCCCACCCAAGTCTGAGTAGGAATTTCAACTTCTAGTTGACCTCTTATGGTTCTGACAAAACCATACACCATTCTTGAGGATTTTATGAACTCTATTCACTAGATTATTTGGAAGGAACAGACTTTGTGCCTTATCACTGTGTTGATCATGAGGTAACCACAGAGTGCAAAATGGAGTAATTTTGGATTTTTTTGTCCTTTTCATTGAAGTGTAATTTACATAAAGTACAATTTACAGCCTTCGATATATGGTTCTATGAATTTTGATAAATCATCACAGTTGTACAATCACAGTCTCTCCCTCTCATACCCAGCCCCTGGCAAAAACTTACCTGTTTTCTTTCCCTATCCTTTTACCTTTCCCAGAAAGTCACATTAATGGAATCATATGTAATGTATTCCCTTTGGAGTCTGAATTTGTGCACTTAGAAAAATGCTTTGGAACTTTGTCCATGTTGTTTCATGTGTCAGTAGTTTGTTACTTTGTATTGCTGAGTAGTAGTGCATTATGTGCATATATGGACATGTACCACAGTTTAATCATTGTTTAGAAGACACTGGGTTGTTTTCCCTTTTAGGAGATTATGAATAAGCCTGGCATAAAAATTTGCATAGAAATATGTGTGTGAATACAAGTTTTTTATTCTCTCAGGTGAATGTACAGAAGCAGGATTGCTGGATTGTATGGTAATTGTGTGCTTACTATTATGAGAAACTGCTAGCTGATTTTTGAAAGTGGCTATTCTGCATTGCCACCAGCAATATATGTTGCTGAACATTTTTGCCAGCACTGGGCATTGTCATTAAAAAAAATCGCCAGCCTGATATGTGTGAAGTGATACCACATACGGGTTTTAATTTGTATTTTCCCAACAGCAGCATGTTAAATTCATGTGTTTATCTTCTATAGTAAACTGCCCAAAAATTTTTTGCCCATTTTTAAAAGGTTGTTTGTTTATCTTAATATTCTGTTTTGATGTAGTAAAATTTATTCTTTATACATTGGGCTTTATGTGTTCTACCTAATAGAGTCTTTACTTACCCCAAGATGGTAAAGGTCTCTTTCCTATATTATATTCTAGAAGTTTTATAGATTTGATTTTAGATATAGGTTTATCATCCATTTCAATTTAAAAAATTTTAAATCTATTTTTTCTTTTCTTTTCTTTTTTTTTTTTTTTTGAGTCAGTGTCTGGCTCTGCCACCCAGGCTGGAGTGCAGTGGTGCGATCTCGGCTCACAGCAACCTCTGCCTCCTGTGCTCAAGAGATCCTCTCACCTCAGCCTCCTATGTATCTAAGACTACAGGTCACACCACCATACCTGGCTAATTTTTGTGTTTTTTTTTTTGGTTTTTTTTTTTTTTTTTTGTAGACACAGGGTTTTACCATGTTGCCTAGGCTGGTCTTGAACTTCTGAGCTCAAATGATCTGCCCACCTTGGCCTCCCAAAGTGCTAGGATTACAGGCGTGATCCACCATGCTTGGCCTCATCCATTTCAGTTTAACTTTTGTATAAATTGATGGTATGGGTTAAGCTTCGATTTTTTTCAAATAGGTATCCAATTGTTCCTGCACCAAATATAGAGGTAGGCTGAAAGATGGGAGGTAAGGAGAGATAAAGGCCTTTTTAAAGGATAAGGAGACGAAGGTAGGGGGAGGTGAAAGTGTACTAAATGTTTTATCTTCCTGGCATTGGAAAAAAATGGGGAAGAAATAGAACATTTTGATAGAGGCCACATTTGATATGCTATTTTAAGTAAATAGTAAAGAAATATGTGTATTAGAAGAAAGGAAAAATAGCAAACAGCAATACAAAATAAATAGTAAATATAAAGCAAGCTGTAAAACAAAATAAAACGTGATACTTTATATTATATTTGAATGGACTGATCTCTCTCGTTAAATTACAGAGGCAGGAGATTAAAAATACACTTAAATAAATTGATACATATTTAACTTAAGGGGTTGGCCAAAAATATTAGGCAAATGCAAATAAAAAAAGATACAAGTGGAATTTAAAGTTAAAAGCACTAAACAGGACAAATAAGAACATTATATAATTGTAAAAATCAAGACTCTAATAAACATAAACATAAACCTTTGTTCAGTAAACAACATAGCAGCTAAAGAGAGTGGAAGGAGGTCATTGATTTATAAACAGAAATTATTGGGTGAGGTTTTAGGAAAGATATGTAAAGAAGGCTGACTCAACTGGAAAATGTCTTTTGCCCCTTCCCTTTCTTATTTCTTCTGTCCATAATGTTGGATATGATGGCCGAAATTGCAACAGCCATCTTGTGGCCATGAAGCAACTTTGAGGATACAAAGTAGAATTCAAGATTGCAAAGCTCAAAGGAATCCAGATTGTTAATGACATCATAGAGCTGGCATATCTTTCCTGGACTATCTGTTGCCAGATTTGCTTTGTGTGTGTGAGAGAGAGAAAATAAATCTCTTTCTTGTTGAAATTACTGTTGTGCTGGTTTTCTTTCTAGCAGCTGAAAACAATTCCTGTCTGATACATAGAGGATTTAAATAACACAATCAATAAACTTGAGTTAATAGGTATGTGTGGATTGGTGAGCATACTATTTTTGAGGAAAAGGGAGAAAGTAATGGAATATTTAAAATATCAATCAGGATTTGGTCCAAAAAGAAAGATGAAACAGAATTTTAAAATTAGTTCCCTTACAGATTATATTTAATCTGTAAATATAATTTACAGATCCAATTTAAATAAAATGATAATATAAAGGCGGCCTTTATCTGCTTATATTAAAAACACATTTATAAATAAACTTTGGATCAAAGAAAAAAAGAAAATTGAAAACTATTCAGAAAGCAACGGGAGTAATTTAAACCACAATATGTATTCTCAGAGGAAAATTCATAGCCTTAAATGTCTTCATTTTAATAAAAGAATATAACAAATAATTATTCATCTAAAATATTAGAAAAAGAACAGTGAAAAAGCAATTCAGAAATGTAAAAGCTAAAATTAATGAATTAAGAAAAATGTTAGTAGATAGGATAAAACGCAAATGCTTTTACATTGAAAATACCTATAAATTAGCTAAACCCTTTGCAAGATTAAGAAAAAACGTAGAGAAACCAAAAATTAACAAAATTTGCAAGCAGAAAGAAGATGTAAACACATATAAAATATATAGTGAGAATTATAAGTAAATAATTACATATGTGTGTTTAGCAGCAGATCTGAAAACAGAGAGGGCTTACTGATTTCCTTTTAGTATATGATAACAAAAATTGACCAAAGTAGAAGTTAGAAAAAGGAAAAGACTAATTTCATGTAAGAGATTGAAAAAATAATTTACAATGTACCATGGCAAAAACCACCAGAAAAATGTTGGATAAACTATTCCAAACATCTCAAAAGTGTTATCTGAGCTCAAAAGCAAATAAGGGCAATTCCCAGGGAATGAACCAAATGAAATTGAAAACCACTGGGGTAAGCTAGAACCGGAGCTGAAGCTATGGCTGTCATGCTTGCCAATCTCAGTTAAAAAAAAAAAAAATGTGGGGTTAGAATACAATGACTGTGGCAGGACAGAAGATAAACTCATGAATCATCACATAAAACTGGGGTATTCCTAATGAAAAATGAACTAAAAAATTGTTTTCCAAAGTGTTTATATGTGTACATACTCCCACCAGTACTTCCTAATGATATTCATGCTGAAAAACATTTGGTATTATCAGACTTCTGAATTTTTGACAAGCTAGTGGATATAAAATTATATTTATATTCCTCTGATTATTAATTTATTAATGAGGTTGAAGATCTTTTTACATGGTTATATGACATTCATTTTTCACCTTCTGTGAAATGTTTGTTCACGACTTTTACCCAGTTTTCTATTCAATTGTTTGTTTTATTGATTTGTAGGAGTTCTTTATGTATTCTAGATATTAATGTTTTGACAGGCATATTTGTTGCAAATATCCTCTCATAGTTTGACTTGTCTTTTTAATTTGTCTTTACTTTGCTTTTTGCTTTTTTTTAAAAAAAAATTCTTAATCCAATGACAGATTATGGGTTGTCTTTTTCTGTGAACAAAAGTTAATGATTTTAATAAATTCAAAGTTATTATTTTATTGTCATTCTTTATGTGTCTTAAGAAATGCTTTCTTAGTGTGAGTTTGTAAAGATATAGTCCCATGGTATGTTTTAAATTTTAAAATTTGTTTTGTCACATTAAAATTTTAACCCCCAAAATGGGAGAAGGGCAGAGCAAGATGGCCAAATAAAATGCTCCACCAACTGTCCCACCCGCAAAGACACCAATTTAACATCCATACTAAAAACAAAAAAGCACATTCATAAGAATCCCAAATCAGGTAACCAGCTTGGGCACAGTGGGGCAGAGTACCAAGCAGACTCTTGGGATTCCTTTTTCCAGGACTTGACTCTTTGATGGCATTCCTGGACCTGCCCTGGGCCAGCGGGGAGCCCACTGCCCCAAAACCTGAGTCCTAGGCCAGGCAGCATTCACCACACGTTAACTGATAATCCTTTGGGGCCTTAAGGGAACATCTGCGGTAGTCTGGCAGTAGGTTCCATGACCTGTGGTGGCACTGGCTATGGGGTGAGGCTCCTCTGACTTTGGAAAGGGGAGGAAACAGTGGGAAAGGCTGCATCTCATGGTTTGAGTGCCAGCTCAACCACAGTACAGTAGAACACCAGGTAGACTTCTAAGGTTTTTGACTCCAGTCTCCAGCTCCTGGATGGACAGCACCTCTGGATCTGCCTGTGGCCCTGGGGAACTTGCTGCCTTGAAGAGAAGAACAAGAGGCTAGCTGGCTTTACCAACTGCTGATTGTAGAGTCCCAGGGCCTTGAGCAAATGTAGGCGGTAGCCAGGTAGTGGTTACAGCAAGCTATGGACAACACATAGTGCTGTGCTGGCTTCAAGTCTGACCCAGTGCAGTTCTAGTGGTGGTGGATGCAAGGGTGCTTGTATCACTCCACCCCTAGCTCCAGGTAGCTTAGAACAGAGAGAGAGACTCCATTTGTTTGGGAGAAAGTAAAGGAAGAGAACAAGAGTCTCTGCCTGGTAATTCAGGGAAGTCTTTCAGATCTTATTCAAGACCATAAGGTGGTACCTCTACGAGTCTCCAAGAACCACAGAGTTACAGGGCTTGGGCTTCCCCCTAATGCAAATATGGGTTAGATCGCAACACTCAAGTCCTTTTGAATACCTGGAAAGCCTTCCTAAGAAAGATTGGTACAAACAAGCCCAGACATCGAAGACTACAATAAATACCTAACTCTTCAATGCCCAGACACAGATGAACATCCAAGAGCATCAACACCATCCAGGAAAAGAACCTCACCAAATGAACTAAATAAGGTGCCAAGGACCAATCCTGGAGAAACAGAGATGTGAACTTTCAGACAGAAAATTCAGAATAGCTGTGTTGAAGAAACTCAAAGAAATTCAACATAACACAGAGAAGAAATTCAGAATTGTATCAGATAAATGTAACAAAGAGGCAGAAATAAATGAAAGGAATCAAGCAGAAATTCTGGACTTGAAAAATGCAGTTGACATACTGAAGAATGCATTAGATTCTCTTAATAGCAGGATTGATAAAGCAGAAGAGATAATTAGCGATCTTGAAGACAGGCTATTTGAAAGTACACAGTCACAGGACACAGAAAAGAATAAAAAACAAGGAAGCATGCCTACAGGATATAGAAAATAGCCTCGAAATGGCAAATCTAAGGGTTATTGGCCTTAAAGAGGAGATAGAGAAAGAGAAGGATTAGAAAGTTTATTAAAAGGGACAATTACAGAAAACTTCCCAAACCTAGAGAGAGATATCAACAATCAATTACAAGAAGGTTATGGAACATTAAGCAGATTTAACCCCCAAAAAGACTACTTCCAGGCATTTAATAATCAAACTCCCAAAGGTCAAGGATAAAGAAGGGATCTTAAATGCAGAAAGATAAAAGAAACAGATAACATACAATGGAGCCCCAATACATCTGGCAGCAGATTTCTCAGTGAAAACCCTACAGGCCAGGAGAGAGTGTCATGACATATTTAAAGTGCTAAAGGAAAAAATCTTTTAACCTAGAATAGTATATCCGGTAAGAATAGCTTTCAAATCTGAAGAAGAAATACTTTCCCAACAAACAAAAGCTGAGGGATTTCATCAACATCAGAGCTTCCCTACAAGAAATGCTAAAGGAAGTACTTCAATCAGAAAGAAAATGACGTTAATGATCAAGATGAAATCATCTGAAGGTATGCAACTCAATGGCAATAATAAGTATATAGAAAAATGCATAATATTATAACACTGTAACTGTGGTGAGTGAACTCCTCTTATGTAGAAAGACTAAAGGATAAACCAATTAAAAATAATAATAATAACTGCCAGGCACGGTGGCTCATGTCTGTAATCCCAGCACTTTGGGAGGCCGAGGCAGGCGGATCACTAGGTCAGGAGATCGAGACCATCCTGGATAACACAGGTGAAACCCCGTCTCTACTAAAAATCCAAAAAAAAAAAAAACATTAGCCAGGCATGGTGGCGGGCGCCTGTAGTCCCAGCTACTCAGGAGGCTGAGGCAGGAGAATGGCGTGAACCTGGGAGGCGGAGCTTGCAGTGAGCCGAGATCGTGCCACTGCGCTCCAGCCTGGGTGACAGAGTGAGACTCCATCTCAAAAAAAAAAAAAAAATAATAATAATAACTAAAATGTCTTTTCAAGACATAGTGCAATAAGATATAAATAGAAACAACAAAAAGAAAGTTGGGGGGTAAGTTAAGATGTAGAATTGTTATTACGTTTCTTTTTGTCTCTGTTTATGCAAACAGTATTATGTTCTTATCAGCTTAAAATAATGATTCTAAGATAGTACTTGCAAGCTTCATGGTAACCTCAAATCAAAAACATAATGAATACACAAAAAAATCAAAATCACCAAATTAAAACCACCAGAGAAAATCGTCTTTCCTGAATAGAATACAGGAAGGAAGGGAAGAATGAAGAGAAGACCACAAAACCACCAGAAAACAAATAACAAAAAGGCAGAAGTCATTACTTACCAATAATGACATTGAATGTAAATGGGCTAAACACTCCAATAGAGTGGCTGAATGGATTAAAAAAAAATGAAAACAAGACACAATGATTGGTTGCCTATAAGAAACACATTTCACCTATAAAGACACACACAGACTGAAAATAAAGGGATGGAGAAAGAAATTGCATGCAAGTGGAAACCAAGAAAGAGCAAGAGTAGCTATACTTACATCAGAAAAAAATATATTTCAAAACAAAAACTATATGAAGAGATAAGGACAGTATTTAATGATAAAGGGGCCAATTCAGCAATGGGATATAGCAATTGTAAATATATGTGCACCCAACACTGGGGCACCCAGATATGTAAGGCAAATAGTATTAGAGCTAAGGAGAGAAAATAGACCCCAGTACAATAATAGCTGGAGACTTTAATACCCAACTGTCAGCACTGGACAGATCTTCCAAACAGAAAGTGAATAAAGAAACATCAGAATGAATCTGAACTGTAGACCAAATGAACCTAATACATATTTACAGAACATTTCATCCAACATCTGTAAAATACACCATCTTTCCTCAGCACATAGATTTTCTCAAGGATAGACCATATTTAGGTCACAAAAGAACTCTTTTTTTTTTTTTTTTTTTTTTTTTCCGAGACGGAATTTCACTCTGGGTATATACACCCACCCCTGGGTATATACACAAAAGAATGGAAATCAGTGTATCAAGGTTATATCTGCACTCCATGTTTATTGCAGCACTATTCATAACAGTCAAGCTTTGGAAGCAACCTAAGTCTCCATCAACAGATAAATGGATAAAGAAAATATGGCACATATAAGCAATGGAGTACTGTGCAGCCATAAAAAAGGAATGAGATCCTGTAATTGGCAACAACATGGATGGAACTTGAGGTCATGATGTTAAGTGAAATAAGGCAGGCAGAGAAAGAAAAATTTTGCATGTTCTCACTTATTTGTGGGAACTAAAAATCAAAACAGGTGAACTTATGGACATAGAGAGTAGAAGGATGGCTACCAGAGGCTGCAAAGGGTAGTGGGGTCCTGGGCAGGCGGGAGTTGGGCATGGTTAAAAGGTACAAAAATAGTTTGAAAGAATGAATAAGACTTAGTATTTTGCTACCACTACAGGGTGACTGTAGTCAAAAATAATTAAGTTCTATATTTCAAAATAACTAAAAGAGTACAATTGGATTGTTTATAATACAAAGAATAAGTGCCTGGGGGGATGGCTACCCCATTCACTCTGATGTGACTATTTTGCATCGCATGCCTGTAGAAAATATTTTATGTACCCCATAAATATATATATATCTACTGTGTACCCTCAAACACTTAAAAAGATGGGAAAAATTCCATGCAGATGCTTATATATATACACACACACACATATATATGATAAAATAAAACAAAAATTTATTTAAAAAATAAAGTTTTAAAATAAAATTTTGATCCACCAACAACTGATTTTTGAATAGGGCATATGGTTTGATATCCAATTGTCCCAGAGCCGAATTTATCGAATAATCTATCCTGTCTCTGTAATACCACTCCTTCATATATCATTTCTCTACCATGCTGAGTCTGTATTACTCACATTTACATTCTGTCAAGAGATACTATCAAAAAGTTGATACAAGGCCAGGCACAGTGGCTTACACCTGTAATACAAGCACTTCGGGAGGCCAAGGCAGGTGGATCACTTGAACCCAGAAGTTTGTGACCAGCCTGGGCAACATGGTGAAACCATGTGTCTACCAAAAGTAAGAAAACTAGCCAGGCATGGTGGTGCATGCCTGTAGTCCCAGCTACATGGGAGGCTGAGGCGGGAGGATCACTTGAACCCAGGTGGTCAAGACTGCAGTGAGCCCTGACAGCATCACTGTACTCCAGCCTGGGTGACAGAGTGAGACACTATCCAAAAATAAAAATAAAAATAAAAAAATAAAAAAATCAACACAACTAGAAATGGAGATGTAAGTATAATATGTCAAGTAAGAAGGGGCAAAACACCAGAGTGCAATGCAGTAAGACTAGGCATTTGAGGCCTTAAAAGTTGCAATTTGGGAGACACGGATTTGGCTAAGAGCCAAATTGTTTTCCAAAGACAGGAAGGAGAGTAGGAATTTTTCAAAGGATGCCGAGAGTGATTGCACAAGTTGTTTTGAAAGAATTATCATTGGTGGAGGTGGCTGGCTTAGTACATAAGTCCATGGTACATTGGTTGTTGCTATGCAGGAGTTGCAGTGCTGGTGAAATTCAGCTGCTTTCTAAGATGTGGTCATTGTAGTTTAGCCCAGTTCAAAGGTTCAAGGCAAGTTCCTGTTCCTTTTTTTTTTTCCTGCAGGGTTTCATGTTGTGTAGGTAGTAATAGAGTGGCTTCTTGACTCCATTTTAGAGCTCTGAACCAAGTGATACTGTTTTGTATATCACATTTCACATTTCTTCATTTTGATAAAGATTTGATGTGAGGAAGCATTGCTGATAAACATCAGTTGGTCAGCCAAAGATTTGTTATCTTTTTCCCTTGGAGGTAGAAACGCCTGTTTCATAAGGAGGTCTGCATTAGTCTATGGTGATTAGCTGTATGTCAGGAGAAGGGTATAACTGATTAACCATGTCTGTAGGTCATTACTCAGTTTTCTTTTCTGAAATAGATTGTGAGATTTCAGGGATAGGATAAAAGGGAAGTTTACAAGGCATGGTGGGGCACACCTGTAATTCTAGCTACTTGGAAGGAAATTCTAGAGAGAGTACCTCCTTGGCCATGGAGTGGGAGGAACAAGACAAGGTTAGATGGACTTTGATTCTGAGGACTTATAAAATTGCTAGCCTAACGTCCTATTTCTGATGCCTTTCAATTTTCAAAAGCATTCAGCATGCCAAAGTGCCATATTTTGGAAAATCATGTTCTGCAGCCCAACATTCTCTTTCCTGAAACTTCCCTGGACGTTTTACACACTAAAAGCTGAGTTGGTGGCTGTGGAGAGAAAAATTGAGTTTATAGCTGAGTGGCAAAGGATACCACTAAACTGGTCTATTTCTGAGAATAGGCCAGTGAATTAAATAGTTGTGTCTCATTTCAGGAGACGGTGTTGCAGTCAGGCTCTCTCAAACTGAAGAAGAAGAAAGGTTAATGTTTGGAACCCTTTTTTTTTTTTCTTTTTCTTTTTGAGACGGAGTCTCGCTCTGTCGCCCAGGCTGGAGTGCAGTGGCGCGGTCTCTGCTCACTGCAAGCTCCGCCTCCCGGGTTCACGCCATTCTCCCGCCTCAGCCTCCCTAGTAGCTGGGACTACAGGCGCCTGCAACCACGCCCGGCTAATTTTTTGCATTTTTAGTAGAGACGGGGTTTCACCGTGTTAGCCAGAACGGTCTCGATCTCCTGACCTCGTGATCCTCCCGCCTCAGCCTCCCAAAGTGCTGGGATTACAGGCGTGAGCCACTGCGCCCGGCCACGCCCAGCTAATTTTTTGTATTTTTAGTAGGGACGGGGTTTCAGCGATTAGCAAGGATGGTCTCAAATCTCCTGACCTCGTGATCCGCCCGCCTCAGCCTCCCAGATGTTTGGAACACTTTTTTTTTTTTTTTTTTTTTTTTTTTTTTTTGAGACGGAGTCTCGCTCTGTCACCCAGGCCGGAGTGCAGTGGCGCGATCTCGGCTCACTGCAAGCTCCGCCTCCCGGGTTCACGCCATTCTCCTGCCTCAGCCTCCCGAGTAGCTGGGACTACAGGCGCCCACCACCACGTCCGGCTAATTTTTTGTATTTTTAGTAGAGACGGGGTTTCACCGGTTTGGAACACTTTTTAAACCAGTTTCTTTAGAGTTTGGGGGGCAATCAGTTGAAGTGCTAGATGTTAGACTCAAACCATCTTCAGTTAAAGTGGAAGTAGGCAGTGGCAATCTGTCACATTTTTCTGGTCTGTAGTTTGTGTATCACAAGGTTGTTTACATGTGAACTTCAGCTTGCAGGGCCTCAGGAGCAAGCTGCAATTTCACTGAGTCCAAGTCAGAAAAATGGAAAGATATGAAAATGTTAGTTTGGAGATTTGTAGCTAGGAAAGAATTCAGGATTCAGTCCAAATTGTTGTAATCAAATAATAAAAACTCACAAACAAAGGACAAGGCTAGAATCTAATAACGTGTACTATAGTTTTCTTCTGAAAAATAATGTATCTCTCTTTAGTCTCCCATTTCTACCAAAGCTGAAACATAGGAGGACCAATTTATTTGCAAAATAACTTTTAGTCTTAGTATACTTTGCCTGATTGTTTGCAGTAAGAGTAGTGATCGGCCATATAGGCTATTTTTTAGTTGGCCTTGCTGGAACTTTTAAATAAGAAATCCCAGAATAGACTTTTAAAAGCCTCTTGAGGCTAGGACACTAAGCGAAGGATTCATCTTCAGACTGGGCTTGTAATACCTGTGTGAATTTCTCTCTTCTTGAGGTCCCCAAAATATCTGAGGTAGCTTATTCTGTCAGAAAGTGACAACTTTTACTTACCACAAGGTCAGGAACCCTGTAAGGGAACAGTGTAGATATGGTACCCGGCCAGTCTTTTTCCAAGTCTGTTGGCTTTAAAGTAAACTGCAATTCCTCAAAGCAGCCTGGTCACATTTGAAAATATGACACAAAATTACCAGTCAAAGCTTTTGTAATATAACCAGTGTTTTCAATTGTGTCCTGTTAAAGAAGAAAACATTCCTATGAGGTAAATGTTTCCATTTTCTTACAAAACTATATTTCACCCAATTACTCTAAGCTATGAATAGCTTCAGAGGGAAAAAGGTTTCTTGATTCTAGAAAACAAAACAGAAAAAGAATCATCCATGTTTAAGCAAAAAGTCATGAAAAATCATTTCAGCCCTTCATCACTTTAGTCTCATGTTCTTGTTCTACTTGATGTTAGGTTAGCAATTTTCCAATTTTATGTCTAATTTTTCATTAGAGTTTTCTTTTTAACTTTCTACCCCCCAGTCCAATTGTGTAATCTCAAAGTCATAAGCAGAGGACTGTATTTCAGATTACCTATCAGTCTTTCCCATGAACTTCCTTGAAGACACATCACTTTAGAATGAACAGAGAGCTTTTAGAAAAAGAGCATCAGAATTAAGCAATTTACTGAATATACCAAGATATATAATATTTTAGGAATCTCATACAATTTTGGAATACATTAATAACATATCCATATGAATATAACTCAAAGAAAGTTAGACATCACTTTTTATTTGACAATGCTTCCCATATAATTTTAACATACCAAATAAGCCTAATATGTCTCTCTTGGACTTCCAGGGGCTCTTTTTGGAATGTCCAAATATTTAGTTCAAGCTTAAAAAACACTTAATTTAGAATTTGAAATTTGATTTTGGGATGTTTGTCAAATATTAAAGGTTTAAAACACTTGATATCAAAATAAGATCACAAGTCACTATAAAATATTAGTCATTCATTTAGTCAAAATGATAATTAAAAGATTTCAAAAAGTGAAAAAAAACCCTTTACTATTTGATAGAGAGGAGATCAAGTTTTCCAAACAATCAAAAGACCTAATAAAGACAGCATGAGGCAAAGTCTTCTTCCTTTTTTACTGAAAAGGTGAACAAATATTTTACCATTTCTTATTAGTACTACATGAAAATCTTGTTCAAAAGAGAAAACCAAATTGTACTTTTCATCAGTGTATTATTAACACTAAAGTTAATTTAATAAAATATAAACAAATCCATCTAATCTCAATCAGCTTTGACTACAGAAAAGATTTGCATGAACATTTTATAATCTCTCACAATTTTTTCAATTCTCTTTCTTTCCCCAATTTTTTATATCCATTCAGTTTTTCCTGTCATTCTTTTTTATCCTTTCAACTTAAAGGAGCCTTCAAATAACCTCTAAACTAGAAAAAAAATACTTTTCCTTTAACAAAAACCACATTCTCAAGTTGTGTGTGTGTAGAAATGGGGTCTCCCTATGTTGCCCAGGCTAGTCGTGAACTCCTGGGCTCAAGCAGTCCTCCTGCCTCAGCCTCCCAAAGTGCTGGGATTACAGGCATGAGCCACAGCATATGGCTTCATGTTTTTCTTATAACCTTCCTCACCCAAAACACATCCTACATTCTTTGTACACTCTTTATATAGAATTATTTCTCTTATATCTAGTAGTTTTAATTACATATATTATCTACAATTTTAACTCTAGTAACCCCAATTTCGAGTGAGAAAGCTAGGAAGTAAAGCAATTTTAATTGTTATGTATCAAATGCAAAGCCCAGGACAAATGACAGAGCTGCGAAGACAGTTAATGGAGGATCTATCCCCTTCCAGCATGGCCAGGAGGCAGAGCTGGGCCAGGGAGGATGTATCGGGCTTGACTCTACCCTGCAGCTGGTGGTCTAGGTGCTGTGGAAGCCTCACCATGACCACCTGTCTAGACTCTGGAATCTAAAGGCTCAAAACCAAAGACATATGCTTAAAGACAAATCAAGCAATTATCAAAAATATCACAGAAACAAGTTTTTTGACCTTAAAACATTTAGCAGAAACAACATACATTTGTTTGACCAGTAGATTAAGATAAAGAAGTCTAAAACTCTGAAGACATTTCTATTTTATTTTACCAACAATTTAAAAATCTGCTTTTTATATCAAAGGTTACTAAAGTCATATGAATTTAAAAATTTTGAGATTATTTAATTTATGAGTACTCATTTATTTATAAGTCAACTCAGTACCATGTAGACAATATACAAACACAGACATATACACATTTATACATAATATACAAACACAAATAAAGATTTTATAGCTTTTTTGCTAGGCTGTTTTATAACGAAATACTTGAGACTGGGTAATTTATAAAGAAAAGAGATTTCATTGGCTCATGATTCTGCAGGCTGTACAGGAAGCATAGTGCTGGCATCTGCTCAGCCTCTCGTGAGGCCTCAGGAAGCTTTTACTCATGGCAGAGAGCAAAATGGGAGCAGGCATTTCACATGGCAAAGCAGGAGCAAGAGAGAGAGTGGGGGAGGTGCCACACACTTTAACCAACTAGATTACAGGAAAACTCAGTCACTATCCTGAGGACAGCATCAAGCCATGAGAGATCTACCCCCATGACCCGAACACCACCCAGCAGGCCCCAATTCCAACATTCGGGATTACAATTCAACATAAGATTTGGGTAGGGAAAATATGTAAACTATATTTGCTTTTATTTTAAAATTTTAGTCATGAGACAGATAAAACTCACTAGTTTAAAAGGACAGTTAGATTAATTTGTGCCTCTGTAAATGAAACAAGTTAAAGATTGTCTGGGCTGGGTGCAATGCCTCACGCAGGAGGGGGTTCACTTGAAGCCAGGAGTTCAATACTAGCCTGGGCAACAAGGCAAGACCCCGTCTATACTAAAACATAAAAAATAAAGAAATTAGTTAGGCATGGCGGTGTGTGCCTGGAGTCCCAGCTACTTGGGAAGCTGAGGTGGGAGGATAGTTTCAGCCCAGGAATTTGAGGTGACCCTGAGCTAGGATCATAACATTGCACTCCAGCCTGGGTGACAGAGTGAGACCCTGTCTCTAAAAGAATAAAAAATAAAAAATATTTTTAAATAAAGTTTATTTGTCCCGCATGGTTGAAGTGCTTATTGAGTTTTAGAGAAACCAGGGTTGCAAATTTACATCTCAATGCACAAAGAGAGAATTTAAGCTTTTTGAAGAAAGAATTTGGGTATGTTAGAGGAAAATTAAAATGAATACTAAGGTAACACAAAATCATTGAGAATCACCAGAGGATTTTATAAGGAGACCAATTTTAGTTAGATAGGTGGCTTTTAATTTAGTCTCCATTTTAAAACTGGACCACTGACCTCAGGGTAGAGCCCATTAATGAATAGCGCAAACAAAACATTTGCAGCTTTTGAGGTCTTTTCACTTATATAGTGAAAAGCAGAAGCAGTAGGAAGGCAAATCGTCTAGATCCTCAGAAATCAAGAACCTCATTTTTTACAGTGAATCCTGGGACCTTAAAAAAAAAAAGGAAATGCCACAGGACCAAGCTGTGCAACACTTCCACAGGGTACCTCACGGCACCTCACGGCAAAGGTAACCCAATGTCAATCAGCCCACTCTGTGATCAGTTCATCCCCCATGGGAGTCTTATCCCTTGATGATGTGATGTAGCCATAGCCTCCAAGTTTCCAAACCTCACTTTTCTGATCTAAATGCACAAACAAATGAATAGCCCCATACAGTAATAACCATCCATTGTAACTGCTCTCAGCCACCCCCCAGAATTGCAGCCTTTGCTGGTGACCCACTAGCTATCACACACACAAAGATTAAGTTTTCTCTCACAGTACGAAGTAATTCCTGGTACCCCCAGAAGTTAGAGAGATCACGGAATTTAATGCAAAACAGCAGAGCCTTAGAACTGAGAGGAACCTGTCCACAACTCTTGGGGATCCATGAGAAAAATATATGACCCCGAAAAGGGGGTGTGTGGCACTTTTTCTGTGTTCCTTAAGGGGTCTTAGAGCTGCTAGAAGTCCTGTCTAGATTTCTTTATGTGGAATTGAAGATGGCAAAAAAGAAGGAGGAGTAGAAGTGAAAGAAAATGAAATAACAAGTCTTAGATGTACCAATTTGGATATTTTAAGCTTTCCAGAAGGGCCAATGAAGATTTACATTTTTCTTAGCAAAAATCATGTGAAAAAGATAAAAAGGAAACAGAATAACCAATCACATAATTAAAAGGGGGTTTCAGTTGACTGAAAAGTAAATCCCACTAGCAGAATCCAAAAGAGAAAAAGTAGAAGGAACTTTTATTTTTTAAAAAAGTATTATAGTCTGAATATCAGCTTTTAATTAAGCTGACTTCTGACCATAGAGCTTTTTTTAAAAAAAAAAAAAAAATTTTAAATCTCTCATGATGAAATTTTAGCTGGGACAAACAGCCAATATTTTTGGCTTTCAAACTTCCCCCCCGAAGTTATCTTTCAAATAACTCACCAAAACCAAAACCCCTTAACTAAGGTTATGACTTAAATAAGAATGCGTGAGACATCTCCAAAGAGGTGCAAAGCAGTCCTCACAAGATCCAGAGGCATCTCAAAGGCAGCTAAATAAAATTTTGCCAGCCACAAATAAAGTACAACCCATATTTCTTTCCTGCCAAATTCTCTAGGATCTCAGCTTCTCAGCAGACCATCTACACACAAAAGTCAACCATCCCTTGTGCCCCATATATAAAAGATTTTAAAAGTCAGTTAGTGTCTTAGTCTATTTTGCATTGCTATAAAGGAATACCCGAGGTTAGGTAATTCATAAAGAAAAGCAGTTTGTTTATCTCACAGTTCTGTAGGCTGTACAAGAAGCATGGCACCAGCATCTGCTTCTGGTAAGAACCTTAGGAAGCTTACAATTATGATGGAAAGTGAAGAGGGAAAAGGCGTGTCACATGATGAAATAGGGAGCAAGAGAGGGGAGGTGTGCCACGCTCTTTTAAACAACTAGCTCTCACGTAAACTAATAGAACGTGAAATCACTCATTACTGTGAAGACACACCAAGCAATTCATGAGGGACCTGCCTTTATGATCCAAATACCTCCCACCAGGATCTATCTCCAATATTGGGGATCAAATTTTGAAATATATTTGGAGGGAACAAATACCAAAACCATATCAGTTGGTAAGACAGAAAATCAAAAGTTGTCCATAGAAGGAAAAAGGATCAATAACAAATTAGTACCCCAAAATGTTGAGTCACACAAATATCAAATGAGTTTTTAAGTAAATGTTTCTCCTGATTTAAAAGACTTACATCAGCAGGGAATGGTTTCCTGATTGGGAATTAAACCAGGGCAAAAGCAGTAAAAGTGCCAAATCCTAGCCACTAGACCATAGGATGGAATGCCCGTTCTGTGTAAATCCCACAGGGAACCCAAAGCAGGCAGTGTGAGCATACAAAGGATTTTGACTTTGTTTGAGATCAGATCTTTGCTCTTTAATTTTGTCAGAATTTGTAAGGCTAGCCATGACATTATTATGTGTCTTAAATTTTTTTAATCCTCCCATAAATACAAATAATTATTTAGAATGAGAAATCTCTGAACTATTTTTCAAATAAAGGAGTCTTTCTAATTGAAAGGATTCATCTTTTGGCCACTGATGATTAGAATCTGTAATGGTGTTCCTATTCCAATAGTGACTCCCTCCAATAAGCCCCTCCATGGAGCCCAGGAGATAATTTTTCCAGTTTAGAATAGATTTTTACCACATAAGCAAGAGGGTGTAGAGGGTAGTAGCGGGATGGAAGGGGTTCACTAGGAGCGGGAGGCAACACAGGACAAGGACAAACAGAGGCATGCACAATTCCAGATTTGTTTTGTTATTATTAATAGAAGCTTCTACTTTTTTTTCCCCCAGTTTAGGGTCTTTGAGCTCATTTGGTATTGTTACCACTTAGGGACACTAGTTTACATTCCTGGAGTATTTTAGCTGCCGCATGATACCAAATTAAAGTAGATGTGCCATTTGGGCTGTTTAATCTTTTAATATTTCTTTTTAGCCCTTCTAATTTGTCCATGGAGGAAAACAAGTTTCAGGAGATCAAAAAATCCTCAGGTTGGCCATTATAATTCCAAATCATTTTTAGTAATGTTGATCCATCAAGAAAGAAATTTATAAAATGAAGGATCATAATTTTTTTTTTGTACAAAAACCCAGCAGGGCTTCCAAAAGGGAATGACATAACCTATACCCTTAGAAGCAAACGTCTCTATGAGTACTAACAAAAAAGGGAAAAATTCCTTTGTCGACAGCCAGCAACAAAAGACACTCAATAAAAGGCTGAACTTAACCGAGGAGGGAGGTTCAGGGACACAAGAGGACTCACCAATGAGGTCCTGGGCTGTTGGGGAGACGATGGAACACAAAGGGATCCTACAGGTACCATGCTTGAATCCATGGCAGTGCCAGAACGCAGGGGAAAGTTGCGTTGTACCCCACTCTATTCTGACACCATTTAATGTCAACCAAGAAGAGGCAAAAGACCAGACAGTAAAGCAGTAAGACAAAGTGTTTATTGGGGTCTTAGGAATTGCAATTCAGGAGACACAGATTGGGCTAGAAGTGAAATTGTGTTCCAAAGAGGAAAAGGAAAAGGAGAGTAGAGATTTTTAAAAGAATGCTGATTGTGCAAGTTGTTTTGAAAGAATTATCATTGGTGCAGGTGGCTGGCTTGGTACGTGAGTCCATAGTTCATTGGTTGTTGCTGTTCAGGAGTTGTAGTGCTGTTGAAATTTGGCTGTTTTCCAAGATGCTGTGGTCATTGCAGTTTGGCCCAGTTCAAAAGTTCAAGGCAAGTTTCTGTTTTGTTTTTGTTTTTTGCAAGGTTGCAAGCTGTGCAGGTAGTCCTTTTTAGAATGGCTTTCTGACTCCATTTTAGAGCTCTGAAGCAGAGTGATACCATTTTGTATATCACATTTCACAAGTATTTAAAGTTACCTAGGCAACCAGGGGAAAATTAAAAATAACGAAGATCAAAAATCAGGAAGATGAGAGAGGACCAGAGGGATTGTGTGAATTAAGTGCTTGTTTTTCATATCAGGACTATGAGAGTCTCAACAGATACAAATCATGAAATAGCGGTCTAAGCACATCATCCATGCTTACAGAGAGCTAAAAGTACAAAACAGTAAAAATTGACTGCTTTAGAGAGTGGGTTCAGGGTTGCGGAAGAGTGAGGTTGGAGAGAGTCTGGGCCTTTCATCATAGGATTTTCTGTACTTTTTGGTACCATTTGCATTCATTACTTTGATAAAATAAAAATTAAGACAGGGAAAGTAGCAGTTTGTTACATGTTGAATAAGCTGTATTAGTCTGTTCTAATGCTGATAATAAAGACATACCTGAGACTGGGTAATTTATAAAGGAAAAATGTTTAATTGACTCACAGTTCAGCATGGCTGGGAAGGCCTCAGGAAATTTACAATCATGGAGGAAGGGGAAATAAACATGTCATTCTTCACATGATGGCAAGAAGTTGAAGTGCTGAGCAAAAGGGGGGAAAAGCCCCTTATAAAACCATCAGATCTCGTGAGAACTCACTATCACGAGAACAACATGGGGGTAAAACCCCCCATGATTCAATTACCTACCACTGGTTCCTTCCCACGATGGGGATTATGGGAACTACAATTCAAAATGAGATTTGGGTGGGGACACAGCCAAACCATATCATAAGCCAGTATGTCTGAATTACCGTAGTTCACTCTTAACTGATTGTGAAGAGAAGTAAATTTGATTGCCTTTTAAATATTAAAATACAAATTATTTTTATAAATACTAGATTGTAATTAGACTTAGAAGTTTTATTATGCTAATGGATTGGATATTTATACAAATGACATTTCCTTATATTGTATTTTATATGCTTAAAACTGGTTTCATCTGAAGAGATCCTTACTGATTATAAGGAGATGTTATTTTATTAGGTGGCTGGTATTTTCAACCTTTACATTAAATAAGTGTGGCTCTCAGACAAGATTAAACAAGATTAAAAAAAACTGGACATTTTTGTGATAATTAAGCGTGGTAAAATACATACCCTTGAGTTAATCTGTTTATACCAAACTTAGAACACATCCATTTCAGAATCTGGCTTGATAGATTCATAATTATGCAAAATATTTTGCCTTCTACTTTTGCACCTGAAAATTTAAAATTATGCTTATAATTAACAAATCATTCAAGTACTAGTTATTCTTCCCTTTTCCTATGTATTTCCTTTTCTTCCCTTCTTCTCCTTCTTCTCTCCCTACTTCCATCCTTTCTCTGTAAATGAAAATTAATATATTCAATTTCCAAAAGAAAAACACCAAAGTAAAAACTCACACTAATCTGAGTCCCACACAAACTCATTGTTTGCCAATAGTAATTGAAAACATTTTTCTCTTTTAATTCTGAAAATATGCTCTAAGGAGAATATATATATATGTACACACACACACAGACTATAAAGAGTACATTATAATGATTACAAAATAATGTTTAAAAAATTTAAGAGATTGCAAACTATTTGTGAAATTTATTTTTTGATAATTTTTCTGTTTATTTTACTTTAAGTTCTGGGATACATGTGCAGAATGTGCAGGTTTGTTACCTGGGTATACATGTGCCATGGTGGTTTGCTGTACCCGTCAACCCATCATCTAGGTTTCAAGCCCAGTATGCATTAGGTATGTGTCCTAAAGCTATCCCTCCCCTTGTCCCCCTTTTTTGATAAATTTTAATTTTTTTTCAATTTTTAATTTTGTGAGTACATAATAGGTGTATATATTTGTGGAATACATCAGATGTTTTGATACAGGTATGCAATGTGAAATAATCACATCATGGAGAATCGGTTATCCATCCCCTCAAGCATTTATCCTTTGTGTTACAAACAATCCAATTACACTCTATTAGTTATTTTGAAATGTACAGTTATTATTGACTATAGTCACCTTGTTGTGGGATCAAATGGTATGTCTTATTCATTCTTTCACTTAGCATAATTATCTCCAGTTCCATCCATGTTGTTGCAGATGACAGGATCTCATTCTGGCTGTTTCTGGCTGAACAGTATTCCATACTCCACTGTGTATGAGTAGCACATTTTCTTTAAGCATTCATCTGTTGATGGACACTTAGGTTGCTTTCAAATCTTAGCTGTTGTGAATGGTACGGAAACAAACATGGGAGTGAAGATGTCTTTTAAATATACTGATTTATTTCTTTTGGGTATATACCCAGCAATGGGATTGCTGGATCATACGATAGCTCAATTTTTAGTTTGTCGAGGAACCTCCAAACTGTTCTCCATAGTGGTTGTAGTAATCTCCATTCCCACCACCAAGAGGGGGAACAGTGTACAAGTGTTTTCTTTTCTCCACATCCTCTCCAGAATTTGCTATTGCCGGTTTTTTGGATTTAAGCCATTTTAACTGGCATGAGATGATAGCTTGTTGTGGTTTTGATTTGCATTTCTCTGATGATCAATGATGTTGAACACCTTTTAATATTCCTGTTTGCCACTCATATGTCTTCTTTCGAGAAATGTCTGTTCAAATCTTTTGCCCATCTTTTAATTTGATTATTAGATTTCTTCCTATAGAGCTGTTTGTGTTCCTTATACATTCTGGTTATGAATCCCTTGTCAGATGAGTAGTTTGCAAATATTTTCTCTTGTTCTGTGGGTCATCTCTTCACTTTGTTGATTGTATCCTTTGCTGTGTAGAAGCTTTATAACTTGAGATCCCATTTGTTCATTTTTGCTTTGGCTGCCTGTGCTTATGGGGTACTGCTCAAGAAATTTTTGATCAGACCAATGTCTTGGAGATTTTCCCCAATGTTTTCTTGCAATAGTTCCATTGTTTGAGGTGTTAGATTTAAGTGTTTAATCCATTTTGATTTGATTTTTGAATGTGGCAAGTGATAGAATGTGACAAGAGATAGACTATCTATCTATCTAGAAGAATGAAGGATATTCATTCTTCTGCAGATGGATATCCAGTTTTCCCAGCACCATTTATTGAAGAAACTGTCTCTTCCCCAGTGTATGTTCTTGGCACCTTTGTTGCAAATGAGTTCACTGGAAGTCTGTGGATTTGTTTCTAGGTTCTCTAGTCTGTTCCATTGTTCTGTGTGTTTGATTTTATGCTGATACCATGCTGTTTTGGTTACTACAGCTCTGCAATATAATTTTAAGTTAAATAAAATGATACCTGCAGTTTTGTTCTTTCTGCTTAGGATAGTTTTGGCTATTCTGGGTCTTTTGTGGTTCCATATAAATCTTAAGATCATTTTTTTCTATCTCTGGGAAGAATGTCATTGGTGTTTTGATAGGGATTTCATTGAATCTGTAAATTGCCTTGGGTAGTATGGGCATTTTAACAATATTGATTCTTCCAATACATGAACGTGGAAAATTTTTCAACATTTTGGTGTCTGCTTCAATTTCTTTCATCAGTGTTTTATAGTTTTCATTGTAGAGATTGTGCATGTTTTGATTAATTCCTAGGTATTTAATTTTATTTGTGGCTATTGTAAATGGGATTACTTTTTTATTTCTTTTCCAGTTTGTTCCCTGTTGGCATATAGAAATGCTACTGATTTTTGTATGTTGATGTGTATTCTGCGACTTTACTGAATTTATCACTTCTCATAGTTTTTTGTTGCAGTCTTTAGGTTTCTCCAAATATAAGATAATATCACCTGCAAATAAGGATTATTTGACTTCTCCCTTTCCAATTTGGATGCCCTTTATGTGTTCTCTTAGATTGCTGTAGCTGGGACTTCCAGTACTATGTGGAATAACAGTGGTGAAAGTAGGCATTCTTGTATTCCAGACCTGAGAGGCAAGGCATTCAGTTTTTCCCCATTCAGTATGATACTAGCTGTGGGTCTGTTGTAGATGGCTTTTATTATACAGAGGTATGTTCCTACTATCCACAGTTTTTTGAGAGTTTTTACCATGAAGGGATGTCTAATTTTATCAAATGTTTTTTCAGCATCAATCAAAATGATCATACGGTTTCCATCATTAATTCTGTTTATATGATGTATCATACTGATTTGCATATGTTGAACCATCCTTGCATCCCAGGGCTTTGTTCTGATGAAGGATTCTTTTAATTTATTATTAAATTTGGTTAGCTAGTATTTTGTCAGGATTTTTGTATCAATATTCCTCAGAGATACTGACCTGTACTTTTCATTTTCATGTGTGTTTGTCTGGTTTTGGCATCAGGGTAATACTGGCCTCATAGAATGTGTTTGGGATGATTCCCTCCTCCTGTATTTTTCAGAATAGTTTGAGTAGGATTGGTATTAGTTCTTTGTTAAATGTTTGGTGGAATTCAACAGCGAAGTCATTGGGTTTCAGGCTTTTCTTTACTGGGAGAAATTTTATTGCCACTTTGATCACGTTACTTGTTATTGGTCTGTCCGGGTCTTGGATTTCTTCAGGAGTCAATCTTGGTAGGTTGTATGTGTCTAGATATTTGTCTATTTCTCCTATATTTTCCAGTTTATTGGCATATATTTGCTCATAGTAGCCACTAATGATCCTTTGAATTTCAGCAGTATCAGTTTTCATGTCTCCTTTTTCATCTCTGTTTCTATTTATTTGAGCCTCTCTCTTTTTTTTTCAGTTAGTCTTGTTAAAGGTCTGTCAATTTTTTTTTAACTTTTCAAAAACCATCTTTTTGTTTCATTGATCTCTTTTATTGTTTTCTTCATTTCAAATTCATGTATTTTTGCTCTGATCTTGATTATTTCTTTTCTTCTACTAATTTTGGGTTTGGTTTGATCTTGCTTTTCTAGTTCTTTAAGATGTATCATTAGATTGTTTATTTGAACGTCTTCCTCTTTTTTTGATGTGGGCACTTATAGTGAAAACTTCCCTTTTAGTACTGCTTTTGGTATATCCCGTAGGTTTTTGTATGTCATGTTTCCAGTACCGTTTCTTTCAAGAAATTTTTCAATTTCCTTCTTAATTTCTTCATTGACCCACTGGTCATTCAGGAGCATATTGTTTAATTTCCATGTATTTGTATAGTTTCCTAAATTCCTATTAATTTCTAGTTTTATTCCATTGTGGTCAGAAAAGATGCCTAAAGATGCCTGATATTATTTCAATTATTTTGAATGTTTTAAGACTTGTTTTGTGACCTAACATATATTCTATCCTTGAGAATGATCTATGTGCTGAGGAGAAGAGTGTGCATTCTGCAGCTCTTAGGTGAAATGTTCTGTAAATATCTATTAGATCCATTTATTCTATAGGTCAGATTAAGTCCAATGTTTCTTTGTTGATTTTCTGTCTGGAAGATTAGTCCAATGTTGAAAGTGGAGTGTTGAAGTTGCAATCTATTATTGCATAGGGGTCCATCTCTCTCTCTTTAGCTCTAATAATATTTCCTTTATATATCAGGGTGCTCCAGTGTTGGGTGCATGTATACTTATTATTGTTATATCCTCTTGTTGAATTGACCCCTTTATCATTATATAGTGACCTTCTTTGTCTCTTCTTACACTTTTTGTATTAAAATCTTGAAATCTATTTTGTCTGATATAATATAGGTACTCCTGCTCCTTTTTGGTTTCCATTGGCATGGAATATCTTTTTCCATCCTTTATTTTCAGTCTATATGTGTCTTTATAGGTGAAATATGTTACTTGTAGGCAACAGATCAATGGGTCTTGTTTTTTTCATCCATTCAGCCAGTCTGTCTTTTGATTGGAGAGTTTAGTCCATTTACATTAGATGTTACAATTAGTAAATAAGGACATAATCCTGCTATTTCATCATTTGTTTTCTGGTTGCTTTGTAGTCTTCTCTTTCTTCTTTCTTTCCTTCATGTCTTCCTCTAGTGAAGGTGATTTTCTCTGGTGATATGACTTAGTTTCTTGCTTTTTATTTTCCTTACTTCCATTGTATGATTTTTGGCTTGAGGTTAGCATGAGGCTTGCAAATACTATCTTATAAGCCACTATTTTAACCTGATAACAACATAACACTATTTGCATAAACAAACAAGCAAAAAAACAACTAATAAAAACTCTGTGTCTTAACTTTGTCCCCCTTTTCTTTACACTTTTCTTTTGTTTCCATTTACATCTTCTTGTACTATGTTTTGAAAACTTGTAGTTATTATTTTTAATTGGGACATCACATAATCTTTCTACTTAGGATAAGAGTAGTTTACACCCCATAGTTACAGTGCTGTAATATTTTATGTTTTTCTGTGTACTTACTATTACCAGGAAGTTTTATACTTCAGATAATTTCTTATTGTGTATTAATATCCTTTTATTTCTGATTGAAGTACTCCCTCTAGCATTTATTGTAAAATAGGTCTGGTGTTGATTAAGTCCCTCTAAGTCCCTCAGGGTTTGTTTGTCTGGGAAAATCTTTATTTCTCCTTCAGGTTTGAAGAATATTTTTTTGCTGAATGTACTATTCTAAGGTAAAATATTTTTTCCTTCAGAACCTTAAATATGTCATGCCACTCTCTCCTGTCCTGTAAGGTTTCCACTGAAAAGTCTGCTGCCAGACATATTGGAGCTCCATTTTATGTTATCTGTTTCTTCTCTCTTGCTACTTTTTGGATTTTTTTTTTTTTTTTTTTTTTTTTTTTTTTTTTTTGAGATGGAGTCTTGCTCTGTCGCCCAGGCTGGAGTGCAGTGGCACGATCTCGGCTTACTGCAAGCTCTGCCTCCCGGGTTCATGCCATTCTCCTGCCTCAGCCTCCCGAGTAGCTGGGACTACAGGTGCCTGCCACCATGCCCAGCTAATTTTTTGTATTTTTAGTACAGACGGGGTTTCACTGTGTTAGCGAAGATGGTCTCAATCTCCTGATCTCGTGATCCGCCCATCTCGGCCTCCCAAAGTGCTGGGATTGGATCTTTTCTTTATCTCTGATCTTTGGGAGTTTGATTATTAAATGCTTCGAGATAGTTTTCTTTGGGTTAAATCTACTTGGTGTTCTATAACTTTCTTGTATTTGGAGATTGATGTATTTCTTTATGTTTGGAAAGTTCTCGGTTATTACTCTTTGAATAACGTTTCTACACCTATCTCTTTCTATACCTCCTTTTAAAGGCAAATAACTGTTAGATTTGCCCTTTTAAGGCTATTTGCTTCATTGTTTTTCATTCCTTTTTCTTTTGTCTGGTCTTATTGTGTATTTTCAAATAGCCTGTCCTCATGGTCATTAATTCTTTATTCTGTTTCATCAACTCTGCTTTTCAAAGACTGTATCCATTGCATTATTCATCTCCAGAATTTCTGCTTTATTCTTTTAAATTATGTCAATCTCTTTGTTAAATTTATCTAATGGAATTCTGAATTTCTTCTCTGTGTTATCTTGAATTTATTTTAGTTTCCTCAAGAGACCTATTCTGAATTCTTCATCTGAAAGGTCACATATCTCTGTTTCTCCATGATTAGTCCCTCGTGCCTTGTTTAGTTCATTTGTTGAGGTTATGTTTCCCTTTTTGGTGCTGATGCTAGTAGATGTTCTTCGGTGTCTGGGCATTAAAGAATTAGGTATTTATTGTAGTCTTTGCTGTCTGGGCTTATTTGTACCTGTCCTTCTTGAGAAGTCTTTCCAGATATTTGAAAGAACTTGGGTGTTGTGATCTAAGCAGTATCTACTTTAGGGGGCACCCCAAACCCAGTAATGCTGTGGTTGTTTCAGACTTGTAGAGATACCACCTTAATGGTCTTAGACAAGATCCAAGAGAATTCTCTGAATTACCCAGCAGAGCCTCCTGTTCTCTTCCCTTACTTTCTCCCAAACAGAGTCTCTCTCTCTGTTCTGAGCCACTTGAAGCTGGGGGTGGAGTGCTACAAGCACCCCTGTGGGTACCACCACTATGACTATGCTGGATCAGGCCTGAAGCCAGCACAGCACTGGGTCTCACCAAAGGCCTGCTGTAAGCACTCCCTGGCTACTGCCTATTTTTGCTCAAGGCCCTGCAGTTCTACAATCAGCTGATGAAAAAGTCGGCTACATCTGTGAACTTCCATTCAGGGCAGCAAGTTCCCCCAGGCCCTGAGTGGTTCCAGAGGTGCTGTCTAGGAGACAAAGACTAGAGTCAAAAACCTTAGAATTCTACCTGGTGCTCCATTGTACTGTGTCTGAGCTGGCACTCAAACGACAAGATGCAGTCCTTCCCACTATTCCCTCCTCTTTCCAGAGGCAGAGAAGCCTCACCCCATAGGCACCACCATAGGTCATGGGGAGTTTTGCCAGACTACTGCTGATATTCCCTTAAGGCCCAAGCTTGTGGTGAATGTTGCATGACCTGGGACTCACTATTCAGGGCGGTGAATGTTGCATGACCTGGGACTCACTCTTCAGGGCAGTGAATGTTGCATGACCTGGGACTCACTGTTCAAGGCAGTGGTTTTACCTCTGGCCCAGGACAGGTCCAGAGATGCCATCCAAGAGTGAAGTCCTGAATACAAGGACCCTAAGAGCCCACTTGGTGCTCTATTCCCCTGTGGCCGTGCTGGTAACGAAGGTGCAAGACAAAGTCCCCTTTACTCTTCCCTCTGCTTTTCTCAAGCAGAAGGAGTTTCATGCCATAGCCACCACATCTGGTAATGTGCTGAGTCTCACCTGAAGCCAGCAAATTTCAGAATCTCACCCAAGGCCCTTGGTGTAATACCTGGTGTTGCTGCTGGTTGTTCAGGGCCCAAGGGCCCTTCAGTTACCAAGTGATGACTGCTGCCAGGGCTGGGTTTTTCCCTTCAAGGCATCTGGTTTCTTCTGGCCCAGGACATATCTAGAAATATCATCTGGGAGCTAGGGCCTAGAAAAGGGGCTTCATGACTTTGTCCAGTGCCCTATCCTGCTGTGACTGTGTTGGTATCCAAGATGCAAGGCATAGTTCTCCCCACTCTTCTCTCTCCTCTCCTCAAGCAGAAGGAAGAGGTCTCTTTTGTGGCTGAGAGCTGTGCAGCCTGTGGTTAGGGGAGGGGTGATGCCAGCACTCTTTTAGCTGCCCTGGCTGGTGTCTTGGTAGGTCGTGTGCACCTTCCCCAGTCTACTGTCTCTGGACACATTTCATCCCTAGGACTCGCCTAAGTGTTGCAATATTTATGGCCTTGGTGGCCTTTCAAGTTTTCATGGAGACCTAGAGCACAGTTGCCCTCTGTGCGAAGTTTGCAGGAACTCAAGTTCAGACCACTGGGATCAGCAATTCTCCTTTGGCTAGGGATGGTTTAAATGCTCCCTCTTTGGGCAGTCATCAGCTGAATTTGGTCTGGTTTTCTTTTCTGCTCTAACAGGACAATGCTGAGTTCAGTGCCTCATAATTGCTGTGCTCTCCCTCTCCTAGCACCCAGAGATACTCCCCACCCCATGCTGCTGCTGCAGGGTTGGGGGCAGTGTTGGCAATTCCAGGCTGCTTTTCTATCTCTTCAGTGCCTTTATCAGTTATATGAAGTTAAAGCCAAGTACTCATGAGTGTGCACCTGATATTTGATTCTTATGAAGGTATTATTTCTGTGTGAATAGTTGTTTACTTGGTGTTCTTGAAGAGAGTTTGATTGGTGGAGCCTTCTATGGCGCCATCTTGCTCCCTATTTGTGAAATTTAGGTTAGAATTATAAACTCCTTTTATCATGTCTTCAACTGTATCATGTATCTTATAGCTCAAATTTAAGACATATGCCATTTTTGAAAATAGCCCTGCTTTTTAAAAATTAACATTTTGGACACATATTGCTAATGCTGAATTACGGATACAATATTATTTGATTGCCAAATAGGATCCCTATTCCATTAAAAAATCTCATTGAAGTATGCGTAAATCCAGGGGGCAGAAACTTTTATAACTGAAATTTTTTGACTGTCTAAAGAAACCTTGCTACTATTGGAATCCACCTTTGTGAAACTGACAAAAGTAGCATATTCTGGTGATGACTGCTTTTGTTAGTCTGTTCTCACATTGTTATAAAGAACTACCTGATAATGGGTAACTGATAAAGAGAAGAGGTTTAACTGGCTCACAGTTCCACAGGCTGTACAGAAAGCATGGCTGGGGAAACCTCAGGAAACTTAACAATCATGGCAGAAGGTGAAGGGGAAGCAAACATGTCTTGCCATGGCAGAGCAGGAGAGAGAGAGAGAGAGAGAGAGAGAGAAGGGGGGAAGTGCTAAACAACCAGATTAAGATCTCATGAGAACTCACTCACTATCATGCATGAGAACAGCAAGGGGGAAATCTGCCCCCATGATTCAATCACCTCCCACGAGGTCCCTCCCCCAACAGTGGGAATTACAATTCAACATGAAATTTGGGTGGGGACACGAAGCAAGACCATATCACTTCTCATATAGTTATTCTGCTGTGAAATACCAATGCAATGAATTATTGGATTAGTCAGGACTCTTGATTTTGACAAAAACTTATCTCAAATGAACTTAAGCAAAAAAAAAAAAAAGAATCTGATGAATCTGATGGCTCACATAATCTTTCATGGCCAAAGGTGAAGCTAGTTCCAGGCATTCAAATAATATCATTTCAATTCTGTTTTTCTCTTTCCATCTCTTTGCTCTATTTACCTTAGTGTTGGCTTCATTCTTAAGCAGTCCTCTCACACTAGGCTGCAAAGGCAGCTTCTGACAACTCCAGGCTTACATCGTCCCTGGTGCTTTCAGTCTTAGAAGAGGCACTTTTATAACCAATGTCTATATCAATCCTGAAAAAGATCCAGGCTTGGCTTTATTTGTACAATGTTAGGAAACAACCAGCATGATCAGGAGGATGGTATATATTGATCAACCTGGGGCAAGTGAACACTCTTGAGGTAGGGGAAGCAGAGTTGTGTGATGATGGATTTTTCTCCCCCGTAAGGCAATGGAAGGTTTCAAAAAGAAAAGATGTAGGGCAGTCAATTCTGTATCTACCACTAATCTACTTTCTATCATTATGGATTTGCCTATTGTGGACATTTAATGTCAATAGAAGCATAACATATGTGGCCTTTTGTGTCTGCTTCTTTTAACTTAGCATAATGTTTTCAAAGTTCATCCATGTTGTAGCATGTGGTTTTGTCCTTCATGAATAGTTCCTGCTTTCCCTGAGTCTTTGTGTTTGTTTGCTTTGGATTCTATCTTTCATGTTGGAAGTGTTCCACAAATGTCTGATAAGCCTTGGATATCTGCTAATTTTTTTTTTAATTTTATTATTATTATACTTTAAGTTTTAGGGTACATGTGCACAATGTGCAGGTTTGTTACATAGGTATACATGTGCCATGTTGGTGTACTGCACCCATTAACTCGTCATTTAGCGTTAGGTATATCTCCTAATGCTATCCCTCCCCCCTCCCCCCACCCCACAACAGTCATCCAATTACTGGGTATATACCCAAAGGACTATAAATCATGCTGCTATAAAGACACATGCACACGTATGTTTATTGCGGCACTATTCACAATAGCAAAGACTTGGGAACAACCCAAATGTTCAACAACGATAGACTGGATTAAGAAAATGTGGCACATATACACCATGGAATACTATGCAGCCATAAAAAATGATGAGTTCATGTCCTTTGTAGGGACATGGATGAAACTGGAAATCATCATTCTCAGCAAACTATCGCAAGGACAAAAAACCAAACACCGCAAAACCAAACACTGCATGTTCTCACTCATAGGTTGGAATTGAACAACGAGAACACATGGACACAGGAAGGGGATATCTGCTAATTTTTAAAAGAGGGGGACCAGAAGTTAACTGGAATATCTAAGAGTGTGTAGGTCTTGTCAACTTACAGTTTCACTGCAGCGTGCATGTATGGTGAGGCCATTTCAGGGAGATTTCTAGTATAGTACTGTATTAGTTTCCTAGGGCTACCATAACAAAGTAGCACATACTGAGTGGCTTAAATAACAAAAATTTATTTTCTCACAATATTAGAGGTCAGAAGTCCAAGGCAAGGTGTTGTCAGGGTTTGTTTCTTCTAAAGTCTCTCTCCTTGGCTTGTTTATGGATGTTTTCTCCCTGTATCTTCACCATAGCCCTCCCTCTGTATGTGTCTGTGTCCAAATTTTCTCTTATAAGGATGCCAGTCATATAGGAAAAGGGCCTACCCTAATGACTTCATTTTTACCTAAATTACTTCTTCAAAGATCTTATATCCAACTACAGTCACATTCTGTGGTAAGACTTCAACATATGAATTTTTGGAGAGCCCGATAAGCCTATAACAAGTACCGTTATGTCTCTCTTCTTGGGCTACTCAGATTGCTCCCAAATTCCTTCCTGGAAGATTATAAACCAGGCAAATACAACTCTGGAAACTAAGTAGGGAAAAGGAGCTGGAGATCTTGGCATTAACCGAATCCATCCACTATTAGCACAGCACCATCAGTCCACAACTGTGTCTGGTGACTATGTCTGGAGACACTTTATTTTATTCTCTTCAGAAAATAAACTAACTCCTGCTGGGGTTGGGGAAAGAATATGGAGCTTTAACTGCTTCCTAAATAAACTTTCTAGTGATATTTTCTTTCATCCCTTCCAGAGGTATCCATGTCTGCTAATTAGTTTATCATAAAGGATGGGAGTTCTGCATTGTAAATTTGCTTACCAACCACTGTTGGTTTGAGATTCAACTTCATTCTACTAAGTCACCATTCAAATGCTTTCTAATTTCCAAAATTCTGTTGCTGTTCCTCCCCCCCCCAGTTATTTTTTCCTCATCAGTTTGCACTTTTTAAAATATCTTTTTATTGTTGTTTTAGTGGAGTTTCAGGGGGAAGTAAAAGCAAATGTAGGTGTTCAATCCATCATCTTTACTCAGAAGGCCCACACATTTATATTTTTAAATGAGCTCATGCTATACAGACTGTTCTATAATCTGCTTTTATCATCAAATTCTAGTGAATATTTATATTTTTTCCATGTCAATAAATAGAAATCTACATAAGTAGTTCTTAAACTTGGCTGCACATTAGAATCAGTGGGTGGTGGGGGAGAGGGTAGATGTAAAAAGTACTGATCCCTGGGCCCCACCTCCAGAAATACTGCTTTACTGGATATGAGATAAGGCTGGCACTAGGAATTGTAAAATCGCTCTAGGTGATTCAAATGAGCAGCAAATATGCAGAGCTAATCTACTCCATTTTTCATCATGCTGATACAGTGTTCCATGGAAGGAATACATAGAAATGCATTTTAATCAACCACTTTCTGGACACATAGGCTGTTTCAAATGGTTTAATATTATAGACAATGCTGTTATGGACATCTTCGGACACAAAACATTATCTACAATTTTGATTATTTTATTGGCTGTATTCCTAGAAATAGGATCACTTTGTTAAAGTGTATAAACTTTTGAGTACAGTTGACCATATTTCCCTCTAAAGTGGTTTGGCCAGTTTAGACTGCCCCCAATAGTATGTGAGAATCCCTGTTTCCCCACACTCAGAACCAGCAGACCATCATTAACAAAATTAATAAGAAATGTTTAAAGGTAGTCAGTTTTAAAATTGAAAAATAGTATTAATTATTATTTAAAATACTCTTTTGTTCTGATTTTTAACTTTTTTTATTGTGGTAAAATATATATAATACAACATTTACCACTTTTACCATTTACCATTAAGCATTTTTAAGTGTACAGTTCGGTGGCATTAAGTACATTCATATTGTTGTGCAACCATCACCACCATCCGTCACCAGAACTTTTTCATCTTTCCCAACTGAAACTCTGTACCCATGAAACACTAACTCACCATTCCTCCTTCCCTCAGCCCCTGGCAACCACTCTTCTACTTTCTGTCCCTATGAGTTGGACTACACTAGGGACCTCATACAAGCGGACTCATACAATATTTGTCCTTTTTGACTGGCTTCTTTCATTTGGCATAGTGTCTTCAAGGTGGCTATCTTATTTTTAATGTATTTTATTATTTGTGAAATTGTATTAGTTAGGTTCTCCAGAGAAACAGAACCAGTTATATATATGTATGTGTGTATATATATATATGTATGTATGTATGTGTGTATATATATATATGTGTGTGTGTATATATATATATACACACACACACAAACACACATATATATAAATTCAATATCAATAAATGGAATTATACATCAATGCATATGTATGTGTGTGTGTGTGTATATATATATATATATGAGGAGATTTATTATAGGAATTCACTTATGTGATTATGGAGACCTAGAAATCCCATGGTCTGTCATTTGCAAGCTGAGGAGTCAGGAAAGCCAGTGTTGCAATTCAGTCCAATTCAGTTCAAGTCTGAAGGCCTGAGAAGCAGAGGAGCCAATGGTGTAAGTCCCAGTCTGAGCCCGAAGGCCCAAAAACTAGGAGCACCAATGTCCTAGGGAAGGAGAAGATGGATGTCTCAGCTCAAATAGAAGCAAATAGATCTTTTCTCTGCATTTTTGTTCTATTTAGGCCCTTAACAGGATTGGATGATGCCCACCTGCATTGGTGACAATAATCTTCCTTACTGAGTTTACCAATTTAAAGGCTAATCTCTTCTGGAAATACTCGCACAGAAACACCCAGAAATAATGTTTCATCAGCTATCTGGGCATGCTTTATCCCAGTCAAGTTGACATATAAAATTAACTATCACAGAAGTGAAATAATATTCATAATTATTGTCCATCTGTATCTCACTTTTTGTGTGTGAATTGCTTAATCATGTGAGGAACATCCGTGAGAAATGTTTTTGGCTCAAAGTATCTGAAACCTTATTAACAGTGGCTTAAACTAATAAGGGTTTATTTTTTCCTCACACAAACAGATGTCTTGAAGTAAGCAGCTGCTGATATTGTTTTATTTGCAAGCTGAGGAATCAAATTGTTTTATTTGCAAGCTAAGGAATTGAACAGTGTTGCAATTTCAGTTCAACTCTGAAAGCCTGGGAAGCAGAGGAGCCAATGGTGTAAGTCCTGGTCTGAGCAGCTCAATGATATCATGTTTGCAAGATGACTGCCCCAGCTTCAGCCATCCCATCCTTGTCCAAGGCAGGAAGAATGAGATGAATAAATATATGTGATGTCTGTATTTTTAATTAACATAACCAGGTTTCCTAGAAATGCCTCTCTCCTCCAGCAGATACTTGCTTGCAAGACTGTGTCACATTACTACCCCTACCCTTGTGTCATTTTGCCAGTGACGCACAAAAAGGGTTAATATTGTTAATATACAAATAGCTTTTACAAACCAATACAAAAAAGTTTTATATTCAAATAGATAAATGGGCAAAAGACCATGTGCTGTTGTTGGCTAACTTACTAAGTTATGTTTTTATCTATTATCTTTTCACGTATTACATATGTTTGGTAAATATATTTTCCCAGCTTCTTGTTTACAATTTAATTTTGTTTCAACATACAGAAGATTTGTATTTTTTAGTTGTTAGGTCCACACATCTTTTATTTCATGACTTTTCCTTTTTGCTCTTGTGTTTACAAAAGCCTATTCCACTCTGAGAAAAGATTAATATCCTTCCATATTTTCTTCTTAATCTTTCATGGTTTCATTTTAACTTAAAATAGCTGGAATGGTACCCTCTTTCACTTCTTATCTGACACTGGGGAAGGAGTGATTCAGGGAGGTGGGTACAAACAAATAGAGGAATCAAACTTAATCTACTACCACTGAACGTGGGAAACCCGTCCTGCCAACTATGTAAAGAAATATTTTATATTAAAATGTTTATTGGTGGGTAGTGATGGCAACTAGATAAGGTAAATCCTGGGGAGCTTATTTAAAGACAATAAGTGTTTTGTGGCAAACAGACCTCAAATGTTGATGAGAAAGCATATGACTGGTTCAATTTCAAAAACGAGAGATGAGTATAACCATACAAATGGAAAGATAACGCAGAAATTGATTTTGCAAGCAATTGTGCCATGGAAAATCCTGTACACCTGATATAGGGTCCAAAGTTTGCTGAGAGAGAAGCACCAGAGGAGTGCAGCTGAAACTGCCCTGAGCACATTGGTCAGAAGTAGTTTTTATGAATGGTAGAGAAAAAACAGGCTGCTTAGTGAAGTTGTTCTATATATTCTTCATTTTTCCTATGGTGGAATTAACCTAGGCCTAGATACTCTCTATGTCCCAGATGAAATTACTTTAAGGTGACAGCCAAGTGACAGTCCCGTCCTGTATACTAATGAGAGTATACACAAATATACAAGACATTTTAGGCTTCGAAAAAAAATCTTCCCATATGTTTGCATCTAATTCCATCTGTCTTTGATATAGAAAGATGACAAATGGAAATTGAGAATGAATTTTCCAAATTATTTTTCTCTAATCCAAACAGAAACTACAGAATGGCCTAAAGAATACTCTGTAAATCCCTGCCCCCAGCATGAAAAACAGTATCAGTCTTTTTCCAGTTATTCTGAAACAGCAAGACTAAATTTGGGGAAAACTTATAAGATAGTTCAATATTTTTCCATATTTAAATTATCTTTTCTGTGTTGGATCTATTATATTGGGCATTTGGACTCATTGATGCTTTGATATAAATTAGTGGATTAGCCTTAGAAGAAACCTTTGGTGAATATTAGCCTTAGGAGGGTCCTTTGAGTTCAACCACTTGTTTACTGAAGTCTGGTCATCATCCTTGCACAAGATAGCTGTTCCTTAAGGCTTCTGCTCACTTCAGAGGTGCTTGTTTATCAAGGTGAAGGTAGAAGAAAACATTCATTTAACAAATTATTCCACCCCAACTGGCTTCTCATAACACTCACACTTCCTCAAGAGTTGGTTTGTGCTTCTTGCCGTGTTTTAGCCAAATATTTTCCTGCCTAAGGGACTGGCTACTTTTACTTCAGGTCATTCTAGTAAATTGCACGAATTGAGTATTGTTCATAACTGTAAACCTTTGGATTCACAACTACACACATTTTTGCTTCGTTTTTCTCAGCACCATAGTCCTTGAAAAGATGGGTTAATTTGACATCATACAATGTACCTATCTGATTACATTTAGTTCTCCCACAGAATCTATTAGTGACTAATGTTACAGGCTTTGAATAATCTGTTTCTTTCTGCTTTTGTCCTAATAGCACTTTCAATCACAGTTAGATCCAAAGAACAACTGGCTTAAGGTGATTTCTTTTTCTTTTAATGTATTATTTTTCATCTGTACACAAGGGGGTCTAAGGCACTTTAATAATGAGCATGTAAAGGAGAAAACTGCGACCTAATGATTCACAAGGGTATTAGCAGCAGGTCTCTTATCTGATACCTACTCAACATTTCAGCAACTTCAGGCTTGCTACCATGGTCATCAAGGCTGTTGCCTTGGTAGATCTTGCAGTGTGTATCTGTGGATCTTACCTTCAGCAAACATTTTTTAAATGTGGGGCTTTGGGCTTTGTTGGATCAAATAGCACTTCCCGCAACAGAACACATATGCGCACCGGTACATTTCCCAGGCACAGGGACTTTATAAAGTTGTATAGCAGCGGTCCCCAACCTTTTTGGCATCAGGGACCCGTTTCATGGAAGACAAATTTTCCACAGACTGCGAGATGGGAGAAGATGATTTTGGGATAAAATTGTTCCATGTCAAATTATCAGGCACCAGATTATTATAATGAGCATGCAACCTAGATTCCTCCATGCACAGTTCACGATAGGGTTTACACGCCTATGCAAATTTAATGCCTGATGATCTGACAGGAGGTGAAGCTCAGGAGGTAACACTCACTAGCCCACCACTCACCTCCTGCTGTGTGGCCTGGTTTCACTATTGTAACAGGTCATGGAACAGTACCTGTCCATAGCCTGGGGGTTGGGGACAACTGCTGTATAGGACAATAACTCCTTTATATTTATTATATTTGCAAGTTTTGGATCTATCAGCTTTTGCTGGCTGGGGACTTTGGAATAGATGGAGCTTAATATGGCTTGGCTCTGCGTCTCTACCCAAATCTCATGTTGACTTGTAATTCCCAATGTTGAGGGAGACCCGGCGGGTGGTGATTGGAACATGGGGGTACATTTTCCCCTTGCTGCTCTCATGATAGTAAGTTCTCATGAGATCTGATGGTTAAAAGCATGTGGCACTTTCCCCTTTGCTCTGTCTTCTCCTGCTCCAGCCATGTAGGACATGCCAGCTTCCCCTTCACCTTCTGCCATAATTGTAAGTTTCCTGTGGCCTCCCCCGACCATGCTTCCTGTATAGCCTGTGGAACCGTGAGCCAATTAAATCTCTTTTTTTAAAAAATAAGTTACACAGTTTCAGGTGTTTCTTTATAGCAGTGTGAGACTGGACTAATGCACAGCTTCTGTTTCCTGATGCTTTAAACAGGCTTCACACTGCTTATAGATGCAATTTGTATCATTGTCTTTTTACAAATTTTTATTTTTTAGAGACAGAGGTCTCATTGTATTGCCCAGGTTGGCCTTGAACTCCTGGGCTCAGGTGATCCTCCCACCTCAGCTTCCTGAGTAGTTGGGGTTACAGGTGTGTGCCACCATGCCCAACAGCTTTTAAAATACAACGTTCAGCCTGGAATGATTTTACAGTATTAATGATCATGCCCTAACAGTGGCAACACAGCCTTCTACTTTCTGGAGAACTGGTGTGTTGTTCTATTAACAACATGAAAGAGGTTATATATTGAGAAGATTGTGACAGCATAACAGATCTCCTGTGATGTGGTGAAGGGGTCAGATACTTGATTAGAAGAGTGCTTAGTCTCTTTAACTTCTCTGTTTTTATTCATGACCTTATTTACAAAGATGAAATTCAACTGTTGCTGCGGTATTGATTCATTCCATGTAACCCTGAGAGAGACAACAGTAAGCTTTATGGTGATGGATGGACACTTCAAGATGATGGACACTTCAAGCCTTTTTTTCATAGCTTTTCTTCTTAATGATTTCATTGTCTTCAGGCTCAATTGATGATGGGGCTGAGCTCCAGGGAAAAGAAGGTTAAGAGGGGAGGGAAGATGTACCTTAAGAGATAGATCAGTGCTCTGGTACACATTTCACTAGGCTCATTTCTCAAAGCAATAATGAAAGTAGATAGGGGATAAATGTTGAAGTGCACCATGTGATCACAAATATGTGAAAAAATATGTATTGCAAAACAAAGGACAAAATACATCAATATGTTAACAGTTGTTATATTGTGCGCGAGAATAGAATTGACTGGCTTGTATTTTCTGCAGTTTTTGAATTTTCCATGTTGATTTTGCATTATTTATTTATTTTAATAAACAAGAAAGGTTTAATTGACTCACAGTTCTGTGTGGTTGGGGAGGCCTCAGGAAACTTACAATCATGGCAGAAGGCGAAAGGGAAGCAAGGCATGTCTTACATGGTGGCAGGAGAGAGAGCTAGTGAGGGGGGAAGTGCCACACTTTTAAACCATCAGCTCTCATGTGAACTCTATAATGAGAACAGCAAGAAGGAAGGCCACCCCCATGATCGAATCATTTCCCACCAGGCCCCTCCACTGACACATAGGGATTACAATTCGACATGAGATTTGGGTGGGGATGCAGAACCAAACCATATCAGAGATTTTCTGAGATCTGATACAACTGTTATACATTTCAAGAGTACAACAGCCGTTGAAAGAAAAATGAAGAAATTTTAAAAAGATAGGAATCAGATGGTGAGACTATCATTCATCCTCACCTTACAGCTTTAACACAGGCTGGCTAGCCTCTTGGACGTATACATTTAGGTGAATGGGTGGGTGACCCCAACCATATTCCATTCTCAGTTATTTCTTGGCCTCCACTGGTCAGAATTCAAAGTGCAACATTTCTCTAGGATATTTTGTTTCCCTTGTTCTCTGCATCTTGAGTGGAAAGCTCCAGAAGGGTGCAGTAATTGCTCAATGACATAAAATTTTCCAAAGAGTCAGAGAGCCAAAGTCAGCCCAGTGAGAAAACAAATGAAGCAAATACTAAAATAACATTGAGGGCAGAGGCCCCCCCCCCCGGAGCCTGCCAAAAAGATATGAAGTTTGATTGGAATAATTATTTTAATTGAATTATCATTTTAAATCAATGAAAGGAAATTATTTCAATGGATAAATGCCAAATCCTATGCATGGGATCCTTTCGTTCGGCTGTGTGTTGGGAGCCTAAATGGTCTGCATGATGGCTGGGCACACTCACGCCCTCTTTAATAAACACTCTCAAAACCTCTCACAATTGAACTTCACACCCAGGGCTGCAGACCTAGGTTCTGCTGAGCCCTGTAATGGGATAACTCGGTGATTATGTGGTTTAGTAACTATCCATAAATTAAGAACAGTGTTTGAAGGCTGCCAATAACGACCTCAGTTTCCCAGTATCTCCCAGAGAAGTGAATTAATTCTTTTAAGAGTTCGGGGCAAAGGCAAGCCAGGACAGAGAAGATTAGCTCCTTCTATTTCTTCTCTTCCATAATTGGTTACCTTTATAGTCCCTCACAGGGCACTGGAAGTGTTTCACACAATCTCTTGGTCACGATAATAATGTACTTCAAAAAGGAGGCTGATCATGTTGACTGAAATCCATCCTGGCAAAAGGCTTTTGCTATGCATTATTTTTTAGCAGGAAAAATAATTTTATGAATTAAAAATGTAAAGAAAAAACTTCCACGTGTGATAGATAGGTGAAGCAAGATGGCAGAATAGAAGGCTCCACCAATCCTCCCCCTCTTCAAGGACACCAAGTAAACAACTATCTACACAGAAAAAAAAAATACCTTTGTAAGAACCAAAAATCAGGTGAGCACTCGTGGCACCTGGCTTTAACTTCATATCACTGATAAAGGCACTGAAGAGATTTTTAAAAAGTCTTGAATAGCCAATGTCACCTCTCCCTCACCCCCAACAGCAGCAGCTTGGTGCCGAGAGCATCTCCAGATGCTGCAGGGGAGGGAGAGCACAGCAATTATGCGGAACCGAACTTAGTGTTGTCCTGCTAGAGCAGAAAAGAAAAGTGGACCAAACTCAGCTGACACCTGCTTACTAAGGGAGCATTTAAACTAGTGCTAGCCAGAGGAGAATTGCTGATCCCAGTGGTCAAACCTTGAGTTCCTGTAAACCTCACCACCAAGGGCTACAGTGCTCTGTGTCTCTAAATGAACTTGAAAGGCAGTCTAGGCCATAAGGACTGCAACTCATAGGCAAGGCCCAGTGCTGAACTAGGCCCAGAGTCAGTGGACTGGGGGTGGTACGTGACATACTGAGACGTCAGCTGGGCAGCCAAGGGAGTGCTGGTGTCACCCGTCCTATAACACCCCGGGCCACACAGTTCCAGTCTCCAATACAAACCCATTCCTCCTGCTTGAGGAGAGGAGAGGGAAGAGTGGGGAGGACATTGTCTTGCATCTAAGGCACCAGCCAGCATGAAGTACCCATACGAGGCCCTAGGTCCCAGATGATATTTCAATACACACCCCGAGCCAGAAGAGAACCTGATGCCTTGAAGGGAAGGACCTAGTGCTGGCAGCATTCATCACCTGCTAACCGAGGAGGCCCTGGGCCCTAAATAACCAGCTGCAAAACCCAGGTACTACATTAAGGGTCTTTGGTGAGCATCTGAGACTTGCTGGCTGCAGGTGAAATTCAGCACGTTCTCAGCTTTGGTGGCTATGAGGCAAAACTCCTTCTACTTGAAAAAAGCAGAAGGCAAAGTAAAAGGGACTTTGTCTTGCACCTTAGGTATCAACACAGCCACAGAGGGACAGAGCACCAAATGGGTTCTTGGGTTCCCCAATTCCGAAACTTGACACCTGGACTGCATTTATGGACTTACCCTGGGCCTGAGGGGAGCCCACTGCTCTGAAGGGTGAGTCCCAGGCCAGGCAACATTCACCACAAGCTGACTTAAGAGCCCCTGGGTCTTAAGAGAATGTTGGTTGGTAGTCTGGCAGTACTCCTCATGGCCTGGGGTGGCAGTGGCTACAGGGTGAGACTCCTCTGCTTGTGGAAAGGGGAGGAAAGAGTGGGAAAGACTGTGTCTTGCAGTTTAAGTGCCAGCTTAGCCACAATAAAATAGAACACAAGGTAGACAGGTGGCGTTCTTCAAAGAAATAGAAAAAATAATCCTAAAATTTATATGGAACCACAAAAGACCCAAAATAGCCAAAACTAGCTTAAGCAGAAAGAACAAAACTGCAGGTATCATTTTACCTGACTTCAAGTTATACTACAGAGGTATAGTAACCAAAATAACATGGTACCAGCATAAAATCAGGCACATAGACCAATGGAATGGAATAGAGAAACTAGAAACAAATCCACACACTTACAGTGAACTCATTTGCAACAAAGGTGCCAAGAACACATACTGGGGAAGAGGGAGTTTCTTCAATAAATGGTGCTGGGAAAACTGGATATCCATCTGCAGAAGAATGAAACTAGACCTCTATCTCTTGCCATATTAAAAAATCAAATCAAAATTGATTAAAGATTTACATCTAAGGCCTCAAACAATGAAACTATAGCAAGAAAACTTTGGGGAAAATCTTTAGGACACTGCTCTAGGCAAAAATTTCCTGAGCAGTAACCCATAAGCACAGGCAACCAAAGCAAAATGAACTAATGGGATCTCATCAAATTATAAAGCTTCTGCACAACAAAGTGAAGAGATGACTCACAGAATGGGAGAAAATATTTGCAAACTACTCATCTGACAAGGGATTCAAAACCAGAATGTATAAGGAACACAAACAGCTCTATAGGAAGAAATCTAATAATCTGATCAAAAGATGAGCAAAAGATTTCAACAGACATTTCCCAAAAGAAGACATACAAATGACAAACAGGAACACAAAAAGGTGCTCAACATCACTGGTCATCAGAGAAGTGAAAATCAAAACCACAACAAGATATCATCTCATGCCAGTTAAAATGGCTTATATCCAAAAGACAGGCAATAACAAATGCTGGAGAGGATGTGGAGAAAACACTTGTACACTGTTGGTGGGAATGGAGATTACTAAAACCACTGTGGAGAACAGTTTGGAGGTTCTTCAACAAACTAAAAATTGAGCTACCATATGATTCAGTAATCCCACTGCTAGGCATATATCCCAAAGAAATAAATCAATATATTGAAGAGATAATCTTCACTCTCATGTTTGTTTCAGCACCGGTCACAGTAGCTAAGATTTGGAAACAACCTAAGTGTCCATCAACAGATGAATGCATAAAGAAAATGTGGTACTTATACACAATGGAGTATAGAGTACTGTTCATCCAGAAACATGAATGAGATCCTGTCATCTGCAACAACATGGATGGAACTGGAGATCATTATGCTAAGTGAAGTAAGCCAGGCACAGAAAAATATCATACGTTCTCACTTATTTGTGGGAGGTAAAAATCAAAACGATTGAACTCAGAAACATAGAGAGTAGAAGGGTGGTTACCAGAGAGCAGCAAGTACAGTGGAAGGCTGGGGGGGATGTGGGGATGGTTAATGGGTACAAAAATAGAAAGAATGATTAAGTCCTACTATTTGATCCCACAACAGGGTGACTATAGTCAATAATAACTTAACTGTATGTTTAAAAGTAACTAATAGAGTATAATTGAATTGTTTTTAACTCAAAGGATAAATGCTTGAGGGGATGGATAACCTCCCCACCAAAAAGCTAATACATAGGTACAGAGAATAGAATCGTGGTTACCAGGGGTACAGAAAGGGAAAAATGGAGAGATCTTGGTCAAAGGATACAAACTTGCAGTTGTGTAAGACGAATAAGTGTAGAAATTGAATGCACAGAAAGGTAACCTATGTGAGGTGATAGATATGTTAATTGCTTGACTGTAGTAATCATTTTACTGTGTAGATTTTTCTCAAAACATCATGTTGTACACCTTAAGTATATATAGTACAAATAAATAATTAAATAAAAACTTCCACATGCCAAGATAGATTTACCTCTTGATTTAATATTAATATATTATGAAATATAATTACTAAATATTTTTTCCTGTTCTTGGGAATAAATAACAACATAACATTTTCACTTCACTCAGCACCTTTAGAAGAACGTGCACTTAAAACAAAGCAGCAAAAGTTCATTGCTGACTATAACTCCACAACCAACAGCGTTTCATGAGCAATTTACAAAATTCAGTAGCAAATAAGCTGAATGTTGAGTCCTTCAGATATGCAGGTTGAAGAAAAGTGCTATCTTCATATGTATCAGCATTATTGAGATATGATTCAAATATCATATAATTCATCCATTTAAGGTGTACAGTTAAGTGTTTTTTAGTGTATTCACAGAGTTGTGAAACCATTAACACAATTAATTTTAGAACATATTTATCACCCCCAAGAAGATACCCCACACCACTTAGCCATCACTCCCTATCCCTCCCATCCTCAAACTACCCTAGCTGCTGGTAACCACTAATCTACTTCCTGTGGTTACAAATTTTCCTGTTCTGTGTTTTCTTATAATTGGAATTGTATAATATGTGGTATTTTCTGACTGGCTTTTTTACTTAGCGTGATGTTTTCAAGGTTTGTCCATATTGTAGCATGTATCAGTACTTCATTCTTTTTATGGCTGAATAATATTCTGCCATACGAATATACCACATTTTGTTTATCCATTCATCAGTTGATAAACATTTGGATTGCTTCCACTTTTTGGCTATTATGAATAGTGCTGCTATGAACTATTTTGTGTGGATATTTGTTTCCATTCCTCTCTGGTCACACATAGAAGTGAAAGTGCTGAGTCATATGGTGACTATGTTTAATATTTTATAGAACCGACAGACTGTTCTGCAAAGCAGTTGCACCATTTTACATTTCCAGCAGCACGTATGAGGGTTCCAATTTCTCCACATCCTCATCAACACTTGCTATTTAGTTTTTATTTTTTGTAGAGATGGAGACTTACCATTTTGCCCAGGCTGGTCTCAAACTCCTGGGCTCAAGCCACCCTCCTGTCTTGGCCTCCCAAAGTGTTGGAATTACAGGCATGAGCCACCACACCCAACATACACTTGTTATTATCTGTCATTTTGATTATAGCCATCCCTCTCCCAAGGTTATATAGAACAAATCTATACCACAACAATAATTCAATTTCTACTTTGCAAAGGAGGTCATGAATACAAATGGAAGCTCTAAGGTGTGAAGTGGTATCTCATTCTGGTTTTGATTTGTATTCCTCTGATGACTAATGATGTTGAGTATCTTTTCATGTACCCCTTGACCATTTCTATAATCTTTGGAGAAATTTCTAATGAAATCCTTTACCTGCTTTTAATCAGGTTTTCTTATTGTCGAGCTGTTGTGTAATGGGAAGGGTTTGAAGCCTGACCATCCTGGATTTGAACCTGAACTCCAGCACTGATTATCTGAGTGAAGGTACTCAATCATTGAGAACCATTCTTACTATTTATTATTGAGCTATAAGGGATACAGTATTCTCTGTGAGGGAATGGAGTATTATCTATGAAGGAATGGGGTAGTCTCTGTAAATGCATTTTCCCATCGTAACTAATGTCTATCCCTTTGTTTTCCCAAAAGTTGGAAAATTTCTAAAATGCCTCAAGCACTTTCTGTGCTTTATTCAACATAAAGTACTTAACCTGACTTAACCCTTTCTTGATGATTCCTTGGAACATCATAGATTGTATTTTATTTGTAGCCCTGTCAGGGTACTCAGGGTTCACTTAGAGCATTTCCTCAGGCTTCTGTGGCTCATCTAGTGACTTTTCTCTCTCTTTGTAGTTCATTAATGAACCTTCTTCTCACAGTTTTATTTCTCACCCCCTCATTATTACACATAATTCAAAAACAACAATTTTAGTTGAAAGGCTGGAGAGCAGCTTCCTCACCTACTACTTACTAAAGTGTATGGCCTTTGTTATAGTTTCATCAAGGGCTCAGGGACATTTTCACTTACTTTCATTGTCCAGTTTGAGCTTGTTGGTTAAAGTTACTGGAAGTTAGAATCCTAGGCAATTGGAATACTATACTCGCTTCATATTGAATAAGAGCTTTTGCTTCCTTGTCAATATTCTTTCAGGGAAATGAAACTTTCAAAATTCAAAACCACCTAAGATCAAACTTTAAGTAAGATTTTATTTTAAAAAAATCAACCTAAACAGACCTCCATTACATGAGAGAGCTTTCTTTTAAACATTACATGAGAGACCTTTCTTTTTTTAAAAAAATCAGACCCTTGTATTAAACTTTTAATCATCCAAAGGTAAAATATTTAGACTTACTGAAGGCAAATATTACCTTCAGTGTATCTTGTTTAGGTGTTTTGGCCAACCAACAGCATTCTTCGTTGAAAATTAACACTTATTCCATGCAGCGTTATTTATTGATTCTTTTTTTGCATGTAACCTGCACCCTAGCAGAAAATATTTAAGAAGATTATAGTTCCAAGGAAGGATTGGAACCCTGATTGGCATGAAAGGGTTAACTGTATTGGATGGGGCCCACTAACCAGACCAGACTGCTGTGAGGAGGCTTGTACTTTGGGGGATGGGTTGGCCTGCAGGTTCCTGGCTGTGTCAGATACTACGCTGTACAGTTTATCTGTTCAAAAATATTTTTCAAGGATTATAGGATTATGTTTTTGGTCATGAGAAACCAGCTTGAAACTTTTCTGACAGTTTTAGTAGATGTGGGCTTAATAAACAAGCCAATAGAATGTAAGGGAATTCAGCCTGGGATCCTGCTAAAACTGCAGAACCAGGTGTCACATCCCTTGGGGGAAACTGTGACCTGTAGGGTTAATTGCTGGCACCAGCTTGCCTGGAGTGAGTTCAGCTGCAGGCAGGAGATGGCTGAAGGGGCCCCCACTGCTGAAATCACCCAGAGTCAGCTGGGTGGGGATGGTTTAAGAGTGTTCTCTTAAACCTGTTGGAAGAGTGTTCTCCTGGTAAGGGTATTTAGGAATCTCTTTTGTCAAGAAGTCCATGCCCCACCATAGCAGGCACACCTTGCTCTAGGTCCTGGTTTTGTCTGTCCTACCTCATCACACTGGACATATTTTTTTCATGCCCTGACACATCATGAAATATTAAGGTGGTAGGCTAAGTTTCAATTCTGTTTTTTTTTTCTTTTCCCCCTTGACAGCACATGCTATCCCTACTTTGAATATCTCACCGGTACTTGCTAGTGTACATTTGGGGCTCTCAGATTCCTGCTGCATTTTCCTAGTGTCTTTGATCCTGATGCAAAATCATATGCTTTGTGTTCCAGTTTTCTGCTGCTGTTCCTGCTGCTGTTCCTGTGGCTACTGCCATTTACACTGTTTTCTCTTGGCCTCTGCATATTTGTTCTTTGTGTTGTCTTGTGGGATCATATTTCCTTGTGTCTCCATTTTTTGTCTGCATCATCTCTCAATACTGCACAATTCTCACAAAAGGTGGGCTGTAGGTCACATGATCCTTCTGAGAAACTCCACCCTTGGTTGCATGACCACAGGGTCCCACTCTTACTGGGAACACTGACTTTCTGAGTGACAGCCCTGATGCCCACGCTGCCCTGCCCAGGTGCCACTGACTGACCATTACAGCTTCCTGGCCTGCGTTACTCTCAAACTGGACATTCCGGCTTTGCAAATTGCTGACGTCCATGAAGCTCTGTTTCCCACCACAATTCCACTCTGTTTCTTGGCCTCTGCCTTTCATCTTCCGTGTGGCTTTAGCCAGGAAGGAATAGCAGTATCTGGGCAGCATGCCACGAGAAAGACTACTCCCTCAGGAGCACCACTTTTTCTGCTTCTCATTTTCAAATGTTCCTGCTTTAAATCTTATTTTTCTTCCCCACTACCGCATGCAGATTACAGAAAAGGAGATCCGAATGTAATCTGCATGTGGTAGTGGGGAAGAAAGATTTACATATGTTTTAAAATGTTACCCAATGCAGTAGTCATGATTAATATCTCTTAAGAAATGTTCCCCTTTTGGTATATGTGTTATATATATAGTATATAGTATATATGTATTGCCTAGTACATATATACCACAAGGGGAAAAATTCATAAGATATATTAATCATGACTACTGCATTGGGTAACATTTTAAATCATAAATTAACTAATGAACAACAAAGAAGGTTTTCCAAGAGTTTCTGATAACCCCAACCAAGGAGTTATACTGAATGTACTCACTTTGTATTTGGGAAATATGCACATTAGTTTCTGAGAAACTATCATCCAGAAATTAATTTGCAGCTGTTAATAAAATGCAGTAGTTCCATCACAAGATACCCAAGTATTTGATACAATTAACTTGAAATTCCTCCCTGTTATGCGAACTTTCTGTATTGTGTTTACTGAAAAGCTTCCAATGGGACAATTTTGTTTTTTGCATCTTCAAAGTGAGTTTTCAGTTCAAGTAACTATAAAAATTATTGGATACACAGTGGCAACTTAAGGTTGCTCAGTTCAAATATAGAGGAGCCTCACTTTACAAAACATGTGTTTTCCTGAAAAGCTTTGTGTTGATACAACTTTGGAAAATCCAGTCACATCTTAAGCGCACTGAGGGAGCAGGCTATTTAAAGGAACTGCATTCAGTGAACTTTTTTGGAACACGAATAATCCTCATGTAATATGTATAATTTCTGAGTTGTGGTTTTCTGAAGGCATGAGGCTCCACCATTTTTCTTTTACCTTAATAATTTTATGGGAAAACCTTTAAAGAATGAAGAGTTGAGTTTTAATTATTTGTTGATTAATTTAGAAGCAAGCATACATAAGAATGCTTTAACAAACCTGCGTACAGCCTGAAGGAACAGCCATTTAATTAAATCCATCAACAGCAGAGCTTGACATGCAGCTTTCTCTTTAGTGTTTAGAGTACTTAGTCAACTTTCTTAAGAGCCTCAAGCCACTTTTGACTGCTCTCAAAAATCTGTTCCTTTAGCAACCGGCATGAATTTGTGTTGCAGAACATTCTTTACTGAAAGCTTTTGAATGACCACAGCAGTCCTTTTCTTGAGTAAAAAGAATCTGGACAGGAATGCAGCATGGTTGTAAAAATGCTCACACAAGCACATGCACACACACACGTATGCACATATACACACCCTTGGCCAAAATGTCACCACTTCTCTGGGTAAAGAAACATCATTACAGGGTCTCTAAGAAATGGAGGCTAGAATAGTTGAATTTTTCACTCATTAATACATTTAAAAATATTTGTTGAACATCTGTGTAGAGCCAGGGACTGTAGTTATTCAACATTTTCCACCTTCTGTATGGGGAACAACAGAATATAGATAATAGAACTCTAAGTTGGGAGAAGATGGGAAAAAGAAAGGGCCAGGTCAGTATTATCCTCATCCCTACCATGTTAAGTCAGTGGGCAATGCTCATTTCTCATTATCACAGCTTATAGAGTGTTAAGGTTGAAAAGAACTTTTGCAATCCCAAGATGAAAGTCTGCATTTTACAGAGGAGCAAACTGAAGCACAGAGTGGAGAAATGACTTGATCAAGCTCACATGGTGAGAAAGCAATAGAGCCAGAGCAAAAATTTATAACAGTATCATCCACCTTATAGGGGGCTTGAGAGGATTCAATGAGTCCATATTTATACAGTGCTTAGAATAGCATTTGGTACTTAGTAAACACAATATTAGTATCCATTTAGTAATAATAATAATAATAATAAAGTAGGTGTGGTGGCACACACCTATAGTCCCAGCTCCTCAGGAAGCTGATGTGGGAGGATTGCTTGAGCCCAGGAGTTTGAGACCAGCTTTGGCAACATAGTGAGACCCCATCTCTAAAAATAAATAGTAATAACAACAATAATAATATACAGTGTAACATGCTGCATCTCAAGCAGATCAAATCTTACCTCCTTAACTCCTTCTCATGCCTTCGGAGCCACTTACAGAGGCCTTCAAAAACTTGGAGCCTCCACCAAAATGAAGTAAGCTCCTCATTTTGGTGGAGTTGAACCTGTCTTATGCAACGGGATATGATAAATGGTGTTTGGGTCAGAATTTGGAAGCGTAGAAAGCCAGAAGTAAGAGAATTATGTTCACACATCCTGGGTAGTGCAGATCATTCTTGATTTCACCTTCTATCATGGTATCCCTGTAAGAACATTTGCCCTTTTCAAACCACATGTAATGTATGTATGTATGTATGTATGTATGTATGTATGTATGTATGTATTTATACTTTAAGTTCTGAGATACATGGGCAGAACGTGCAGGTTTGTTACATAGGTATACATGTACCATGGTGGTTTGCTGTACCCGTCAACCCGTCATCTAGGTTTTAAGCCCAGCATGCATTAGGTATTTGTCCTAATGCTCTCCTTCCTCGTGCCCCCCACCCCCTGACAGGCCCTGGTGTGTGATGTTCCCCTCCCTGTGTCCACATGTTCTAATTGTTCAACTCCTGCTTATGAGTGAGAACATGCAGTGTTTGGTTTTCTGTTCCTGTGTTAGTTTGCTGAGAATGATGGTTTCCAGCTTCATCCATGTCCCAGCAAAGGACATGAACTCATCCTTTTTTAGGGCTGCATAGTATTTCATGGTGTATATGTGCCACATTTTCTTTATCCAGTCTATCATTGATGGGCATTTGGGTTGGTTCCAAGTCTTTGCTATTGTGAATAGTGCTGCAGTAAAGATACGTGTGCATGTATCTTTATAGTAGAATGATTTATAATCCTTTGGGTATATACCCAGTAGTGGTATTGCTGGGTCAAATGGTATTTCTGGTTCTAGATCCTGGAGGAATCGCCAAACTGTCTTCCACAATGGTTGAACTAAATTACACTCCCATCAAGAGTCTAAAAGCATTCCTATTTGTCCAAATCCTCTCCAGCATCTGTTGTTTCCTGACTTTTTAATGATCGCCATTCTAACTGGTGTGAGATGGTATCTCATTGTGGTTTTGATTTGCATTTCTCTAATGACCAGTGATCACGAGCCCAAAAACTCAGTAAGCTGATAAGCAACTTCAGCAAAGTCTCAGGATACAAAATCAATGTGCAAAAATCACAAGCATTCCTCTACACCAATAATACACAAACAGACAGCCAAATCATGAGTGACCTCCCATTCACAATTGCTACAAAGAGAATAAAATACCTAGGAATCCAACTTACAAGGGATGTGAAGGACCTCTTCAAGGAGAACCACAAACCACTGCTCAAGGAAATAAGAGAGGACACAAACAAATGGGAAAACATTCCATGCTCATGGATAGGAAGAATCAATATTGTGAAAATGGCCATACTGCCCAAAGCAATGTATAGATTCAATGCTATTCCCATCAAGCTACCATTGACTTTCTTCACAGAACTAGAAAAAACTACTTTAGATTTCATATGGCACCAAAAAAGAGCCCATATAGCCAAGACAATCCTAAGCAAAAAGAACAAAGCTGGAGGCATCACACTACCTGACTTCAAACTATACTACAAGGCTACAGTAACCAAAACAGCATGGTACTGTTACCAAAACAGATATATAGACCAATGGAACAGAACAGAGGCCTCAGAAATAACACCACATATCTACAACCATCTGATCTTCGACAAACCTGACAAAAACAAGCAATGGGGAAAGGATTCCCTATTTAATAAATGGTGCTGGGAAAACTGGCTAGCCATATGTAGAATACAGAAACTGGACCCTTTCCTTATAACTTATACAAAAATTAGCTCATGTAATGTTTTTAAATCAACTCACTGAGTGTTGCTAAGTGCAATGGATGTTTCATACTCCTCATTTTATTTGACCTCTGGGCAGCATTTCATTGTTTTGATTATTCTCTCTTGCTTAAAGAATAGTTTCTTTGACTTCACATTATGTTTTCCTCCTATCTTTCTGGATGATATCTCTCATCCCTCATCCCTCATCCCCCATTCCTCATCCCTTTCCCTCTCCCTCTCCCACTCATAGAAAATTTTACATGTATGCAAGAATAGACTTGTATCCTTATTTTTTTGAGGTTATGCCACCACTCTGTAAATGGTTATGCTAATTTTCTTTGTTTTGCTTTAGAATTTTATGGATATGGCTCATGCCTATAATCCAAGCCCTTTGGAAGGCCGAGGCAGAAGGATCACTTGAGGCTAGGAATTCAAGATCAGCCTGGGCAACAGAGTGAGACCTTGCCTTTACAAAAAAAAAAAAAAAAAAAAGAAATTAGCCAGATGTGGTGGCACATGCCTGTAATCTCAGCTACTCAGAAGGCTGAGATGGGAGGACCGCTTGAGCCTGGGGGTTTCAGGCTGCAGTGAGCCATGATCCAGCCACTGCACTGAAGCCTGGAGAAAGAGGGAGACCCTGTCTCAAAGAAACAGAGTTTTGTGAATTGCTTTTTTAAAATTTAATTTTGCATTATAATTATGTAAAAACATTACTATAGTTCCAAAATGAAATTTACAAAATAAGGCATATTCAGAGACATGTAGCTTCAACCCTTGTCTCCTTCTACTTGTTCCCTCTCTTTCCCTATATGTAACCATTTTAGTTTTAATTTTTGGTTCATTCTTCCATCAAAAAGTACATTATTTTTATTCAGGGTTTACACTCATCTTTACATATGTGCTTACATCTGTTTTCCTGCTCTCCTCCACAACCATATACTATGCTGGCAATATCCAATTATTTGAAGTTGCTCTATGTGTATATGTGTGTATGTATGCATACCTATCCTGCCTAATTTCTTGCCTTTAACCTCATCTTTACACCTGTGTTTATATCCACCTTTCTGTCTCCTCTCCATATGATACTTCAGCCATATTGAATTATTTAAAGGGCTTAAATGTACTATGTTTCGTATTGCCTCTGAGACTTTTTTTTTTTTTGAGGCAGAGTCTTGCTCTGTCACCCAGGCTGGAGTGCAGTGGCGCAAGTTCGGCTTACTGCAACCTTCGTCTCCTGGGTTCAGGCGATTCTCCTGCCTCGGCCTCCCAAGTAGCTGGGATTACAGGTGTGCACCACCATGCCCAGCTAATTTTTGTATTTTCAGTAGAGACGGGGTTTCACCATGTTTGCCAGGCTGGTCTCAAACTGCTGATCTCAGGTGATCCACCAGCCTTGGCTTCCCAAAGTGCTGGGATTACAGGCGTGAGCCACCGCGCCTGGCCTCAAGACTTCTTAAATGTGGTTCTTTCACACAGAATCCTGATTGGAAAGAGTTCAAGAGAGAATGGAAGGAAAAGCTGTAGGGAAACAGACACTGTCATACATTGCTAGTGGGATGAGTAATAGCATAACCTCTATAAAAGGCTATACCTACTAAATTGCAATACTCAGTACTTTGTCAGTTGCACTCACTTCCCCTTACCTGTACAGTTATACTTCCTCATATATATATATAATATATATATGTAATATATATATAATATATATATATAATATATATATGTAATATATATATAATATATATATATAATATATATATGTAATATATATATAATATATATATATAATATATATATGTAATATATATATAATATATATATATAATATATATATATATAATATATATATATATATGGCATTGTTTGTAATAGTAAAAGAGATCAAGAGGTCTGCTGTTGTAGGCTATTTAAATAAATTGTGAAACATCTAGAAGATAGGCTAGGATGTAGCTGAAAACATAATGAGAGTCATCTCTATGCAGTGATAATAAAACATCTCAGATTTCTAGCATATTTTGCTAGTTGCATAAAGCAATGTGTAGAACAGTGCATTGTTCTGGGATAAAAAAGGGTGGAGAAAGATAAGACTATATATTCATAAATGCTTTGTTTTTATAAATGCTGGAAGATTAAGAAGGAAAATAACATGCAGAGCTTCATCTGGGGAATGGGGGAGGTGGTGGGGAAAGGGTGAATGGGGCAGGGATGGTTACTAAAACAAACTTATGCAAGAAGGAAGAGGAATTAGAATGGAAAAGAGAGGAGCTTGACAGACTATTGGTGACTCTTTTTTTAATGGAAAAAATCTTGTATTTTATTTACTAATTCAAAAGAGGGATATGGATTTGGTCTATTTATACTATACCTTTGCTGCAAAGCAGATATAAAGCTGTATTTATGAAAGGAAGGCTAAAATTATTATTTTCATCAAATTTAATATATAATTTATTCTATAATGCTTAGTCTTTTATTTTTCTTAACATATTTTCTTTCTTTCTTTCTTTTTTTTTTTTTTTAAGATGGAGGTTTGCTCTTGTTTCCCAGGCTGGACTGCAATGGCGCGATCTAGGCTCATCGCAACCTCTGCCTCCCGGGTTCAAGCAATTCTCTTGCCTCAGCCTCCCAAGCAGCTGGGATTACAGGCATGTGCCACCACGCCCAGACAATTTTGTAGTTTTAGTAGAGATGGGGTTTCTCCATGTTGATCAGGCTGGTGTTGAACTCCTGACCTCAGGTGATCCGCCCACCTCGGCCTCCCAAAGTGCTGGGATTATAGGTGTGAGCCACCACACCCGGCCTTCTTAACATTTTCTATCATTATATAACATAAATGTAATGTGCGTTTTTAAACAACTCCCTCTTATTGCCCCTGAAGCCCTCCACTTTACTCTAGTGCCCATTGCAAATATTACTTCCTACAATTGCTCTAGTATGCAAAAGGTGGGGAGCAGTGCCTTAAAGAATAGGGTTCAAGTGGGGCTAGTCATGTATGGGTAACATAACTCACTGCAAGAGACTTTGGAAGGTCTGGGAAAGCACTGGAGTCATTTGCATAAAAATCCTTGGACCTCTTAGAAAGAACTGTAGAGAGGACCCTGAAAGCTGCAGTTAGATCTCAGGGATATTCTCACTCAAAGCAAATAGGGGAGATGACGGCAGCAAAATCTTTAGAAAAGGGTGCCCCAGGAAGACAGAGAACTCAACATTACGACTTGAGGCTTGTAGGCAGACTCAAAGTTCTTGGGATTTTATAAAAGGTTTTTTATACAGATAGGTACAGTTTGGCATTTTTCCATAAGAATATATCATTGCAGCCAAATTAGCAGTTTTCTTTAATCTAGGGTAGGTAAGTTCCAGTCTAATGAGATTTAGTCCTATTCTTTGTGAACAAGAATTTATTATTCTCCATTGAAGGGTTGGAGAAGGGTGGGAAAAGCAAACTTCTTAATGGGGATCTAGGAGCAATGAAGCACACATACTAATTTTGGGAAATATTAAATCATAAATCATGAAATTCTGGGAAATGAAAGAAATTAGCATAACCAAATGATATATAGATCTCAGTCCTCTTAGGATGAATAGATGGTGCAACATGTTATAACAAAGTGAATTTTCTGTTGAGAAGTGCATTTAAAAGTAGAAGTGGCCAATAATCCATGTTTCTTATCCAACCTCTGGCATTTTGAGCTCAGGGTGTTTTGTTTGTTTGTTTTGTTCATTAATAGATTCCAAGCATTAGAACAACTCTGAGCACAAAGTAGGTACACAGTAAATATTTGTTAAAGGAAAAAAGCAGTAAAGAAAGATTTGATGCTTAAAAGGCTCCTTGCTGTTCCTGATCAAGACTTTTTAATAGATCATCTCTTTAAATTCTTTTTTTTTTTTTTTTTTGAGACAGGGTCTCACTCTGTCGTTCAGGCTAGAGTGCAGTGGCCAGACCTCAGCTCACTGCAACCTCTGCCTCCCAGGTTCAAGCAATTCTCCTGCCTCAGCCTCTTGAGCAGCTGGGACTACAGGCACCCACCACCACACCTGGCTAATTTTTGTATTTTTAGTAGAAAAGGGGTTTCACCATGTTGGCCAGGCTGGTCTTGAACTCCTGACCTCAACCTCAAGTGACCCACACACCTCGGCCTCGCAAAGTGCTGGTATTACAGGTGTGAGCCACTGTGCCTGGCCCATCTCTTTAAATTCTTGATAGTTATCATAAGTGAGACAGTTCAAAATGTAAAATCAATGTTTGCATTTACAAATGTACAATGGCTAAAATGATATAAATATTTCAACAGCTCTTTTATTTCATTAACAAATGTGACACTGACATTTTTGTAATAAGTATATTTTTGTATCAAATTGAATATTTTTATATCTAGTTTTTCAAAGTAATGCAGAACTTCTATATATTCTTAGAGCAATTAACTTGCATCTAGCTTGGACACCACCAAAAGGTCATGTCAGCCACAAATGGACAGAAATATCCAATGCATGTAAGGACAGATATTGGGGCCAATGTTTGGAGATGTGCCAGCCAGAAGCCTCTGCCTGGATGCTACTCCACTCCCAGCCCCCACCACCCTGAGTGCAGGAAGGGAATGGCAATCCCTGTCACTGCATACCATATCCTATTCCTGCACACCAGTTGAGACTCTGGGCTATAAGAAATGCTCCTTGGGTTATGAGGAAGATTAGGCATGACTGTAACCATTGCTGCAGGTATAATATCCCATTTACAAATGATCTCAGCAAAACTGGGTCTCTACTAGAACTCATTAATATTTCAATGCTCTAGAGCAGCACTGTCCAACAGAAATATAATGTGAACCACATATATATTTTTAAATAATCTACTAGTCACTCCAACAAAGTAAAAAGGAGTAAAATTAATTTTAATATTATTCTTCACTTAAAAATATATTTGAAATGTATTAACATGTAGTCAATATAAAATTATTAATGAGATATTTGACTTTTTAAAATTCAGTACTTGAAATCTGTATATAGTTTATACTTACAGCACATTTCAGTTCAGATGCTAAATTTTTAGTGGTTACAGTGAAAAGTAGTTCTACCAAAATAAAAATTTAACTGAGAAATTATTTTACACTGCTTCAATTTTTAAATTTAAATTAATTAAAATCAAATACAGTGGAATAAAATTTTAAAAACCAGTTTCTCAGTCGCACTATACACATTCCAAGCTCTCATGTGGCTCATGGCTACCATATTGCACAATGCAGCTCTAGAAATATGATAGCTAACTGCAAGTCAGGTACAAATGTCACCTAGAAGGTAGTTCTATTGTTATATACTTTTATGACATTAACATAATTACTTACAAAGTGAATAAACAGAATACTCTCCTAAAAAAATATATTTCTCAGACTAAAGTTCCCAGGCTTTTAAATGTTGACTTATTGTATCTTTTACTATTTACTTTTGGAAAATCTCCAAAATTGTGTTATCTAATAGATCCAAACTGCAGTAATTGAGTTGTACCACAAGAGGACCTGCAAAGACAAGTTGAGCTTAAATTTCAGCCATGCTCAAGCTATTAAACTGAAGTGTTAATTAGCAAAACATCTCACTGTCAATATTAGAATCTTCACATCTGCCTCAGTTAAAATTGAAAAAAGTAATCCATTTCAACCTAATTTTAAATTAACACATAGTATGGGGGCTATTAGTGGTAATATGAGGCTACATGAAGTGACACTTTGGGAAGAATTAGGAGATGGTATGCAGTGGTTAAGAGCATGGAATAGGAAACCATACAGGCCAGACAAGAGTCTTGGTTCTGTCCCACACTAACTGTATGACTCCAGGCCAGTCTCTTAATCCAAAAAATAGAGCCATTTATAGTACCCCATCCTAGGATTTGTTGAGGAGTAAGTGAAAGAACACACATAAAGTGCTTATCACCTATGCATAGTTAGTACTAAAAATTGTTAACTATAACATTGATAAAAAAGACTAAGACATGCCATGGTTAATTGATATGAATTACAAAAGGATTCAATGGATAGATAGCCTCAAGGTTTAATGACATCAGTTTTGCTCTTCTGTCCATATCTGTTAGTCTTAGCCACCTGTTGAACTAGAAAATTCTAGTTGCCCTAATTGTTTCCTTTATCTAATAAATAACTGCAGGGCACTGTTATGTACATAATGACATTTATTTATTATTTCTGATTATGCCAAAGGATAATTTTGGTCTTTAAGAAACTTCTGGTATTAATTTATTGTGGGAGGCAAAATAGACATAAATAAAAAGTTATGTAATATGAAAATTAATTATACTGTTGCACTGGTGAAGTGGGTCTCTATAAAAAACCTGATTTATAGCTTTTGGTGATTCCATGGGGTAAATACTCCCACCATGGCCAATTAACTACAAGCTACCAATGGTTCAACAACCAGCTTGCAAAACTCCTGAGTATTTAACAACCAAGTCTTGTAAGCTGGTGTGAGCTGGCTGTAGCACACCATTGCTTGTATAACATGGTATAGCAAAATAAAATGTCATGAGAGGATCTATAATTATAAATAAGTTGTATGGAGAATGAGGCTAATACATATACATTCAGAGAATGAAATCCCAATGGAAAGTTGGATTAAGTATGCCAATTGAGCACAAATATTTACTTCCCTTCTATTCCAAATTTTATAAAATTAGTAAAATAGTGATGTAGAAGCAAATCCACCTTGGCCTTCTTACTGTTCTTACAGAACTCCAGGCAATTTCTTTATTAGTGTCTTTGTACTTGCTGTTCTCTCTGTCTGGATTTCTATCTTTAGCTATCTGCATGGCTCCCTTCATCTCTTCCTTTACTTGCTTCAATCTACGTTGCTACACAACGCCCCCATCCCGTGACCCAAGCAGGTACACGGATACGGATACTCTTTTTTCCTATTTCTTGCTAAATTCCTCCCCTTCAAACCCCAGCAGATATCACTATCTGATAAGCTACGCATTTTAATGATGTATTTGTTGTCTGTCTCCCTCCACTAGAAGGTAAGCTTCATGACAGCTGAGAATTTGTTGTTGTTGTTGTTGTTCATGGCTATATCTCTGGTACCTAAAACAGTGACTGGCACAGTGCAGGAGCTCCATAGTATTTGTTGAATGCATAACAATGCTGATAAGACAGTATATCACCAGTGAACCAGAAATTATAAGAAATTCCCAGAGGTTAGAGAGCAGACAGGATCAGATAGATAAAACCGCATTCCAAAACACGTGGTAGAAAACTGCAGAGGTAAGAGCAACACCCCCCCGCCCCTCCAAAAAAAAGTCTTCAAACTCAGAAGCAATAAATGCTGTGGGGCAAAAGGGGCCCTGTGGAAACCATCAGTGAAATTAATTAAATACTTAAATTAAAATCACGGGGCTGTTTCTCCATCTTTTCCAATACCTTCTTACAATACCCGCCTCTTACTGAGCTGAAGGCTGTTACACACTTAACCATGGAGAGGTGGACAATAAAGAAACTGCACTTTTAACAAGTGAACTAGCCCTTGGACTGAAAGGAACTGCTTTCAGTGTGGGTACCGAAGTATGAGAGAGAAGTAGAAAAGAATTTCAGCTAGGCAGTTGAGTTAGGTAGCTGAGAAAGATACTGCTACTCAGGAGAGAAATAAACCCTTCAATATATCAGCAATTGCAGTGGCGATGGTCTACTTTAGGTTGACATACATTTAAGCAACGATGTCTAAACATGCTTTAAGCCCTATCCATTTACATATAGCTGAGTTCACAGACAATACTGCCCATTCAATGGAACATCCTGTTAGGGAAACACATACAACTGCAGAGAAATCCATGAAAACTACCTGTATTCGGAACCTAGCCCTTCATTCATAGACATGAATAGATAGCCAAGTACCTCTAGAGAGCTGCATAAAACAGAAAGGCCACCATAAACCACGAGAACAACTGATCTCAGAGGAAATAGATATAATGCATGCAACAGATGAGGAATACAACAATAACAATAAAATTTTTGAGGAATTTGAAAAAAATAATTTTCATTCATAAAATAAGCTTCACAGCAATACAAAGATTAGAGAACAAGAAACAGTTCTTGGAAATTATCTTTTTAGCAAAATAAGAAAAATGCAAGAGAAGTATTAAATAATAGAATGTGCATGATTGAAGAGCAAATTGGGGCTCTGGAGAATAAAGTCAAGGATTTAAAAAAATGAAATCTAGAAACCAACAAACGAAGATCTCCTACAAGCTAAAGAGATGAAAATTTGAGATAAAAGTTAAGAGATGTTGTCAATCAATCCTAGAAGTTTAATCTAATAAGAGACAACATAGTAAGAGGGGAGAAATAATCAAATAAATAATAAAACAGAAAAATGGTTCCCAAGCTTAAAAAAGGAATTTTCTGAATAAAGAGATTTATCCAATGCTGACCAAGAAGAATAATAAATGACCCACATCTGGGCATATTCTTATGTATTTCATAACTCCAAGGGTAAAAGAAAATTCCAGAAGCTTCTACGGAGACAGAGCCAGAAAGAAAATTTTGTCCAAAGGAGTAAAAATCAGATTTGTATAAGGAGAAAAAGAAGCAATACCTTCAAAGTCCTGAGGGAAAACCATTTTTTAACTTACAATTCTGTATCTAGTCAAGCTAACACTATAGTGAGGCAAAATAAGGATTCCTTCAGACATGGAGAGAGTCAGAAAGTTATTCCCTGCAGACTTCACTGAAAAAAATTACTCAAGAAGCTACTGTAGCAAAATGAAAAATAAATCCAAGGCAGAAAATTGGAAATGCAAGAAACAAAAGTACACGAAGAGGCTAGAAATACTTATATATGTGCTTAAATAACAGTTGATGCATAACTTAAAAAAAATCCCTAGAACTAATTTTCCAGATCACTATAATATGGAAGATGGACAGGGCAGGCTGAAAGGGTAATGGAGTGCTAAAGATCTCATCTTTTTCAGGGGAAGTGTATAGATACCTGTTAATTGTACATGAAGAAGGAAAATGTTAATTTTTAATATTTATTAACAGTTTAAGGGTAGCCACTAAAATAATAGAAATAGGAATGTAACAAAGCTGCATAGGGGCAAAAAAGAAAAAGCCAACAAAGTGCAAGAAAGTAAAAGGGAGGGGAAGGTAAGGAAAAGAATGGGAATAGAAGTGGAAAAGAAAAAAATAAGGAAAGAAAGGTAAATATAAGACATAAAATAGAGCATCATTAATCATATAAATATGTATGGGTTAAATTCCCTGATTCAAAGAAAAAGACAGACATTTAAATAGAGTTAAACACAACTCCCCTTCTAACAATATGGTATGGTATAATTTCTTTATATACCATAAAGAAATATACTAGAAATAAGCCAAATGAATTAAATGACACAGAGAATTTGAAAATAAAGAGATAGGGAAATAAACACCAGGCAAATGCATGTTTTAAAAAAGCACATATCAATACTAGATATAACTTAAGGCCAAATGCTAAATGTGGTATATATATATATATATAACAATTAAATGAGACATAGAGATCTATCTTATATTAGTATATTAGTACAATCTATTATCTTTCAAGAGAATATATATGTATCTTGTCAACTAAGATATATATTATATACATATCTATATTTATATGTATATCTATATCTATAATACATATCCACACATACATCCATCAAAGAAGGACTTCACATCTTTTTCAGGAAAAGATTTACAAAGATTGATAATGAATATGGCCACAAAGGAAAAGAACACATTCTCCAAAGCAGAAGTTAAGCAAGTCATTTTCTCTTAACACAGAAGCAAAATCAAAAATTTAATAAAAAGACAGTAATAAAATTAATCTATATATTAGTTTCTTATTATAGCTGTAAGAAATTGCCCCACACTTAGTGATTTAAAACAACGTAAATGTATTATTTGGAGATCAGAAATCAGAAGTAGATCTTATGAGGCTAAAATCAAGTGTCAACAGATCTCTGTTTTTTCTGGAGGCTCTAGGGGAAAATTCTTTTTTTGTCTTTTCCAGTTTCTAGAGGTTACCCTCATCACTCTGTATTGCCTTATCTCTTTCTCTGACTCTGCTGCCTTTCTCTTTCATCTTTTAAGGACTCTTGAGATTATATTGGGCCCTCCCTATCTTAAGATAGTTGACAATCACATCTGCAAAGACCCTTTTGCCATGTAATGTAACAGTTTCTAGGGATTAAGACATGGACATCTTTGCAGGGAGATTGGGGGAGGAGGTTGTCCTATCCATCACAATCAGGGAGTGAAATGACACCCTTCTAAATAACTCTTGGATTTAAAAAAAAAGAAATAAAAACTCAAATTATAACTTATTTAAAAATGAAAAACAGTTATTGTAGTATATATTCAAACCCATGAAATGCTTCAAAGATGTACTCAGAGGACAAGGTACAGCTTTAAACATATGTATTACAAAACAGTAAATATTGGGAAAAAATTAAGTGCTTAATTCAACAAACTAGAAAATTAATAGAAAAAATATGCCCAAAGAAATCAGAAAGAGCTGATACAGATAATGCTATAGAAAACAGTAAGACAAGCCAACAATACATTAAATAAATCAACAAAACTGAAATTTGGTTTTGGAAAGAACAAGAAAAAAAAACTTGACAAGTGTGATTATGAAAAAAAGAGCAAACACCCAAGTAAAGTTAAGAATGAGAAAGCAGAATTAAATATATGGAGCATATTTTAAAATTTGTAAGAAGAATTCTATATGTACAATTTTATACCCTACATTTAAACTCATGATTACAGAAAATACCTGAAGAAATAGTAGAAAGTTTGAATAGGAAAATAACAATATAAGAATAGGAAAAGATATTCAAAAATTTTACCCTTACCATGTATCTGACTCAGATGATTTTACAGTAGAGTTCCATCAAATCTACAATAGACATATCATTGTAATGCTATGCAAATTGTGCTAGTCATATAACAAAAATGAAAAGCTTTCTAATTCACTCTATGCAACCACTGCCTGTACTCCCCAAACAATCACACTTCCTGTTTCTTCTTTTCTCTCTCCTCACTACGCATTGGTTAGAACAATATTCAGTGTTTCCATTATTGTGATGCTGGGCACATTAATGTGTATGATTTTTTTGTTTTTGTTTTTGAAGTTGTCATCTTCCTGAATCATCACTCTCTTTTTCAGGTTATTCACCTCTGTTTGCTTGTTTTGATTTCTCTCATGTCAGAGTTTCTCCAGATGTCTGTGATCTTTAGGTGTCCATTCATAGTTATGAGGGAGATACTAAAAAGATTACTAGCAACGTTGAGCATGTGGGTAGGGTTTTTGGGCTGTAGGGTTCACTGCCAATGGTATAGTTGCACTGTTTCATTGGGGAACCCCTGATTGTCAGTACCTTTAGACTCAGTGTTTTTAGATTTTTCTTCTTGTGCTAGTAATATCCTGCAGAGAGACATCCTCCCATCTCCTGCCTGGAATGTACAATCTAGTGTTTTGGGATCCCAGTTGATGAAGAAGGTTTAAGGTGTCAATAGTCAGTGCTCAGAGAATTTTACTTAATCCCAGTTTTCGATATGGTATCTCCACCTTCATCTATGCTTCATATTCTCTAGTCCAGACATATGTTTTATCTTCTACACAGGCTATACCTTTGGTCCTCTGATGAGTTTGGGGAACAGTAGTCAACCACACAGCCAGGGATCAAAGGAGTATACATCTGAGACTCCAGATGTTCAGACTTTCAAGCACTGCTGTTTTCAACCTCTTCTTCCCCCCTCTTTCCAGAGGTACTTGGTACAGTCAGTTCCTGGGATTTAAGGAGACTCTTCAGTACAAGTCATGTTGTTTCTTGGTTTCCTCTACTATCTGCTTAAGGTTCAGGTTACTTTTTAAATTTTAAGTTCTGGGGTACTGGTGCAGGATGTGCAGGTTTGTTACAAAGGTAAACGTGTGCCATGGTGGTTTGCTCCACCTATCAATCCATCACCTAGGTATTAAGCCCTGCACGCATTAGGTATTTTTCCTAATGGTCTCCCTCCCCTACCCACCCACCAACAGGTCCCATTGTGTGTTGTTCCCCTCCCTGTGTCCATGTGTTCACGTTGTTCAGCTCCCACTTATAAGTGAGAACACGTGGTGTTTGGTTTTCTGTTCCTGCGTTAGTTTGCTGAGGATAATGGCTTCCAACTTGACCCATGTCCCTGCAAAGGACATCATCTCATTCCTTTTTTATGGCTGCATAACCACATTTTCTTTATCCAGTCTACCATTTATGGACATTTAGGTTGATTCCATGTCTTTGCTATTGTGAACAGTGCTGCAATGAACACGTTTGCATGTATCTTTATAATAGAATGATTTATATTCCTTAGGGTGTATATCCAGTAATGGGATTGCTGGGTCAAATGGTATTTCTGCCTCTAGGTCTTTGAGGAATCATCACACTGTCTTTCACAATAGTTGAACTAATTCACACTCCCACCAACAATGTAAAAGTGTTCCTTTTTCTCCACAACCTTGCCAGCATCTGTGTTTGTTGTTTTTTGACTTTTTTAAAAATAGCCATTATGACTGGTGTGAGATGGTATCTCAGTGTGGTTTTGATTTGCATTTCTCTAATGATCAGTGATGTCGAGCTTTTTTCATATATTGTTTTTTATATATGTTTTTCATATATGTTTCATACATGTATGTTTTTCATATGTTTCATACACGTATGTTTTTCATGTTTCATACACGTATGTTTTTCATATATGTTTCATACACGTATGTTTTTAATATATGTTTCATACGTGTATGTGTTTCATATGTTTCATACACGTGTTTTTCATATATGTTCCACACACGTATGTTTTCATATATGTTTCATACATGTATGTTTTCATATATGCTTCATACACATATGTTTTCATATATGTTTCATGCACGTATGTTTTTCATATATGTTTCATACACGTATGTTTTCATATATGTTTCATATATGAAGTTCATTCATGATTTGGCTCGCTGCTTGCCTGTTGTTGGTGTATAAGAATGCTAGCTGTTTTTGTACATTGATTTTATATCCTGTAACTTGCTGAAGTTGCTTATCAGCTTAAGAAGCTTTTGGGCTGAGACAATGGAGTTTTCTAGATATAGCATCATGTCATCTGCAAAAAAGATAGTTTGACTTCCTCTCTTCCTATTTGAATATGCTTTATTTCTTTCTATTGCCTGATTGCCCTGGCCAGAACTCCCAATACTAGGTTGAATAGGAATGGTGAGAGAGGGCATTCTTGTCTTGTGCTGGTTTTCGAAGGGAATGCTTCCAGCTTTTGCCCATTCAGTGTGCTGTTGGCTGTGGGTTGTCATATATGGCCCTCTTTATTTTGAGGTATGTTCCTTCAATACCTAGTTTATTGAGAGCTTTTAACATGAAAGGATGTTGAAGTTTATCAAAGGCATTTTCTGCATCTATTGATATAATCATGTGGTTTTTGTCTTTAGATCTGTTTATGTGATGAATCACATTTATTGATTTGTGTATGTTGAACCAACCTTGCATCCTGGGGATGAAGCCAACTTGATCATGGTGGATAAACTATTTGATGTGCTGCTGGATTTTGTTTGCCAGTATTTTATTGAGGATTTTTGCATCTATGTTCATCTAGGATATTGGCCTGAAGTGTTCTTTTTTCACTGTGCCTCTGCCAGGTTTTGATATCAGGATGATGCTGGCCTCATAAAACGAGTTAGGGAGGAGTCCCTACAATTTTTAAAATTTGTTTTAGTATAAATGATGCCAGCTCTTCTTTGTACCTCTGGTAAAATTCAGCTGTGAATCCATCTGGTCCTGGGCTTTTTCTGGTTGATAGGCTATTTATTACTGCCTCAATTTCAGAACTCATTATTGGTCTATTCAGGGATTCAATTTCTTCCTGTTTCAGTCTTGGGAGGGTGTATGTGTCCAGGAGTTTATCCATTTATTCTAGATTTTCTAGTTTATGTGCATAGAGGTGTTTATAGTATTCTCTGATGGCTGTTCGTATTTCTGTGGGGTCAGTGGTGATATCCCCCTTATCATTTCTGATTGTGTTTATTTGCATCTTCTCTCTTTTCTTCTTTATTCGTTTAGCTAGTGGTCTGTCTATTTTATTAACCTTTTCAAAAAACCAGCTCCTGGTTTTGTTGTTATTTTGAAGGGTTTTTTGTGTCTCTATCTCCTTCAGTTCAGCTCTGATCCTAGTTAATTCTTGTCTTCTGCTAGCTTTGGGGTTTGTTTGCTCTTGCTTCTCTAGTTCTTTTAGTTGAGATGTTAGGTTGTTAACTTGAGATATTTCTAGCTTTTTGATGTGGGCATTTAGTACTATAAATTTCCCTCTTAACACTGCTTTAGCTGCATCCCAGGGATTCTGGTACATTGTCTCTTTTTTCTCATTAGTCTCAAAGAATTTCTTGATTTCTGCTTAATTTTATTATTTACCCAAGTGTCATTCAGGAGAAGGTTTTTCAATTTCCATGTAATTGTGTTATTTTGAGTCAATTTCTTAATCTTGAGTTCTAATTTGATTGCACTGTGGTCTGAGAGACTGTTAGGATTTCAGTTATTTTGCATTTGATGAGGAGTGTTTTACTTCTGATTATGTGATCAATTTTAGAGTAAGTGCCATGTGGCAATGAGAAGATGTATATTCTGTTGAATTTGGGTGGAGAGTTCTGTAGACACCTATCAGCTCCATTTGATTCAGAGCTGAGCTCAGGTTTTAAATATCTTTGTTAATTTTGTGTCTCAATGATCTAATATTGACATTGAGGTGTTAAAGTCTCCCAATATTATTGTGTGGGAGTCTAAGGCTCTTTGTAGGTCTCTAAGAACTTGCTTTATTAACCTGGGTGCTCCCATATTGGGTGCATATATAAGATAATTAGCTCTTCTTGTTGAATTGAACCTTTTACCATTATGTAATGCCCTTCTTTGTCTTTTTTGAACTTTGTTGGTTTAAAATCTGTTTTGTCAGAAATTAGGATTGCAACCCCTGCTTTTCTCTGTTTTCCATCTGCTTGATAAAATTTCCTCCATCCCTTTATTTTGAGCCTATGTGTGTCTTTGCATGTGAGATGGGTCTCTTGAAGACAGCATACCAATGGGTCATGATGAGAGGTGACAACATGCTAGCAGCCCTCGCTCGCTCTCAGTGCCTCCTCGACCTTGGCGTCTGCTCTGGCCGTGCTTGAGGAGCCCTTCAGCCCACCGCTGCCCTACGAGGGCCCCTCTCTGGGGCTGGCCGAGGCCGGAGCTGGCTCTCTCTGCTCACGGGGAAGTGTGAAGAGAGAGGTGTGGGTGGGAGCCGGGGCTGCACGCAGCGCTCACAGGCCAGCGCAGGTTCCAGGTGAGCATGGGCCTGCTGGGCTTGATCAGAGGCTGAATCCTGTGTGTGGACCACTGTTCCCTCCTCGTGGGACCGTTGGCCACGATAGCAGGTCTCCGTCTCTTTCTCACTTCCCCTCTTTTCCTCTTGATTGTCTGGGATGAGCTCCCTCTGGGCTGCTGGAGCCCTCTGGAGCCCTCTCGGCTGCTGGGCTGCTGTCTGGATGAGCTCCCTCAGGCTAGGTGCCTCAAAGTCCCGTGGTGAATGCCAGTGAGAGGTGAGGCTGGCTGAGCTTCTGGGATGGGTGGGGACTTGGAGAACTTTTCTGTCTAGCTAAAGGATTGTAAACGCACCAATCAGCACTCTATGTCTAGCTAAAGGTTTGTAAACACACCAATCAGTGCTCTGTGTCTAGCTAATTGGCTGGGGACTTGGAGAACTTTTCTGTTTAGCTAAAGATTGTAAACGCACCAATCAGCACTCTGTGTCTAGCTAAAGGTTTGTAAATGCACCAATCAGCACTCTGTCAAAATGGACCAATCAGCTCTCTGTAAAACGGACCAATCAGCTCTCTGTAAAATGGACCAATCAGCTCTCTGTAAAGTGGACCAATCAGCTCTCTGTAAAGTGGACCAATCAGCAGGATGTGAGTGGGGCCGGATAAGGGAATAAAAGTAGGCCACCCGAGCCAGCAGCGGCAACCCGCTGTGGTCCCATTCCATGCTGTGGAAGCTTTGTTCTTTTGCTCTTCACAATAAATCTTGCTGCTGTTCACTCTTTGGGTCCACGCTACCTTTATGTGCTGTAACACTCACCTCTGAAGGTCTGCAGCTTTACTCCTGAAGCCAGCGAGACCACAAACCCACCGGGAGAAATGAACAACTCTGGACGCGCTGCCTTTAAGAGCTGTAACACTCACTGCGAAGGTCTGTGGCTTCACTCCTGAAGTCAGTGAGACAACGAACCCACCAAAAGGGAGAAATTCCGGACACATCTGAACATCAGAAGGAACAAACTCCAGACACACCATCTTTAAGAACTGTAACACTCACCACGAGGGTCCACGGCTTCATTCTTTAAGTCAGCGAGACCAAGAACCCACCAATTCCAGACACAATGACTCTATCAAGCTTGCCGTCTGTGCCTTTTAATTGGGACATTTAGTCCATTTACATTTAAGGTTAGTATTTTTGTGTGTGAATTTGATCCTGTCATCATGATGCTAGCTGGTTATTTTGCAGGCTTGTTTATGTGGTTGCTTCATGGTGTCACTGGTCTGTGTAATTCAGTGTGTTTTTATAATGGCTGGTAGTGGTTTTTCCTTTCCATATTCAGTGCTTCCTTCAGGAGCTCTTGCAAGGCAGGCCTGGTGTTGAAAAATTCACTAAGCATTTGCTTGTCTGAAAAGGATCTTACTTTCTTATTCGCTTATGAAGAAAAATAAGGAATGCTTCCTGAATTTGCATGTCATCTTTGTGCAAGGGACATGCTAATGTTCTCTCTACCATTCCATTTTAGTATATATGCTGCTGAAGTGACCGCCAAAATATTTTCTTAATGGTTGCGTAATAGTCTTCAGTCATTCTTCAACTGGTAGTTGTCCATTTTTCTTTCACCTTTTTACATTAGCAAAAAGATCCACAAGGAACATATGTATATCCATAGATGTGGGGTTTTCTGTTAAACATAAAAATGGAATTGTTCAGTGTGTACTGTTTTTGAGTGCAAGTAACAGAACTCAAACCAGCAGTGGTTTAAACCAGGAATATATTAGTTGTTTAGTGAACAAGAAATCTGGTAGAAGATAGTCATAGTTTGAGTGTTCAAAGTCATAGTCCACAAGCCAAGCTCTTTTCATAATTCTATTCTTCCATTCCTGGGCATATTGCCTCTTGGTTACAAGATGTCTACTGAAGCTCCAGATGTTCACACAACAAGATACAAAGTATAATGGGAAGGAAGAGGGCAAACAAACCCTGTTTTATATAGTTCTCTGTAAGGTAGAACTGTATGGCCCCAAATAAACTTTCTCTTACATCTAGATGGCCAAAAACAGTTTCACATATACCCATCTCTATACCAGTCAATGGTCAATGGGAATGGCATGTCATGATTTGTTTGGATTGGGTGCATTCCTCCCTAGACAAGACCATGCTCCTATCAGTGAAGAAAAAAATACATAGAGAAAATAATTCTTGGAAAGGCAACCAACAGCGTCTGCCATGATATGATATGGAATTGATTAATATGCTACTTAGACATCCTCAGTAAAATATCTGTTAGGGAAACAGGAGCCTAGCAGAACCAGAGTGACACCGTTTTAAGTTCAGCTCCATCTTGAGACTAAAAAGGCACTTTCGGTTCCAGCCATGATTCATGGTTATAAAGTGTTTATAGTTGAGGAAAACCTACAAGGACACACACCTACAATAGCAGAAAGTCTAGATGTCCCAATACCCGTGACAATACATGGTTTAAAATAATTATAGTTATTCTTTGATGTACTTACCCACTAAAATATCAAGGATAGTTTTCTTTAAATCAACAGAATAATAAATTTTCTCATGCTGTCTGCTCTCCTGCACATAGTCACAGCTTAGTTTAGTCTTTGCATAGACAGGACACTTATATAAGAAAAGCTTGAAGACAGTGCATTCCTCTCTTAATTTCTGAGGATGCCCTACTCTGTAACAGTGTAGCTTTCAATATCTTATCACTGCACTCTGCAACTCACCTTGAATTCTTTCTTCTGTGAGATTCAAGAACCCTCTCTGCAGATCTGGATTGAGACCATGTCCCTACAAAGGACATGATCTCCTTCCTTTTTATGGCTCCATCAGGTTTCTTGTGTTTGCTAAGTCAGTTATCACCTGTCCTTTTGCTTTCCAACTTCTAAAATTTTGATTCTACTGTCTCCTCCTATCCTGACTCTCCCTCTCTCTCTGTATGTGTGTGTGTGTGTGTATGTATGTTTCCATCTATTACTTTATAATTTTCCTGATGTTTCATGAGGTAGTGGAAGCATATATCTTCAACCACCAAGTTTTTTAAGTCCTACACTCTTAGCCAGTATGTACCATTGTCTTGCAAGTGAGGCTGAAGAGTGAGCTGAATGCCCTTGAAAGTCTGAATGAAATTGTTGTGTTGGGAAAATTATCACAGCAACAATGTACAGGATGGATGAGAAGGGGGAGAAAACAGAAGCAGGTTATTTGTCCATTTGCCTTGCCTGTAGGATCCTTCCCCTTACTTCTCAGTTTTTTTTAAAATTATACTTTAAGTTCTGGGATACATATGCAGAACGTGCAGGTTTGTTAAATTTGTATGCACGTGCCATGGTGGTTTGCTGCACCCATCAACCCGTCATCTACATTAGGTATTTCTCCTAATGCTATCCCTCCCCTAGCCCCCCACCCCCCGACAGGCCCCGGTGTGTGATGTTCCCCTCCCTGTGTCCATGTGTTCTCATTTTTCAACTCCCACTTATGAGTGAGAACATGTGATATTTGGTTTTCTGTTCCTGTGTTAGTTTGCTGAGAATGATGGTTTCCAGCTTCATCCATGTCCCAGCAAAGGACATGAACTCATCCTTTTTTTGTGGCTGCATAGTATTCCATGGTGTATATGTGCCACATTTTCTTTATCCAGTCTATCGTTGATGGGCATTTGAGTTGGTTCCAAGTCTTTGATATTGTGAGTAGTGCTGCAGTAAACATATGTGTGCATGTGTCTTTATAGTAGAATGATTTATATTCCTTTGGGTACATACCCAGTAATGGGATTGCTCAGTCAAATGATATTTCTGGTTCTAGATCCTTGAGGAATTGTCACACTCTCTTCTAAAATAGTTGAACTAATTTGCACTCCCACCAACAGTGTAAAAGCATTCCCATTTCTCCACATCCTCTCCAGCATCTGTTGTTTCCTGATTTTTTAATGATCGTCTTTCTAACTGGCGTGAGATGGTATCTCATTGTGTTTTTATTTGCATTTCTCTAATGACCAGTGATGATGAGCTTTTTAAAATATGTTTGTCAGCTGCATAAATGTCTTTTTTTGAGAAGTGTCTGTTCATATCCTTCACCCACTTTTTGATGGGGTTGTTTGTTTTTTTTTCTTGTAAATTTGTTTAAGTTCCTTGTAGATTCTGGATATTACCCCATTGTCAGATAGATAGATTGCAAAAATTTTCTCCCATTCTGTAGATTGCCTGTTCACTCAGATGATAAGTTTCTTTTGCTGTGCAGAAGCTCTTTAGTTTAATTAGATCCCATTTGTCAATTTTAGCTTTTGTTGCCATTGCTTTTGGTGTTATAGTCATGAAGTCTTTGCCCATGCCTATGTCCTGAATGGCACTGCCTAGGTTTTCTTCTAGGGTTTTTATGATTTTAGGTCTTACATTTAAGTCTTTAATTCATCTTGAGTTAATTTTTGTATAAGGTGTAAGGAAGGGGTCCAGTTTCAGTTTTCTGCATGTGGCTAGCCAGTTTTCCCAGCACCATTTATTAAATAGAGAATCCTTCCCCCATTGCTTGTTTTTGTCAGGTTTGTCAGAGATCGGATGGTTGCAGATGTGTGGCATTATTTCTGAGGCCTGTGTTCTGTTCTGTTGGTCTGTATCTCTGTTTTGGTAACAGTACCATGCTGTTTTGCTTACTGTAGCCTTGTAGTATAGTTTGAAGTCAGGTAGCATGATGTCTCCAGCTTTGTTCTTTTTGCTTAGGATTGTCTTGGCTACACGTGCTCTTTCTTGGTTCCGTATGAAATTTAAAGTAGTTTTTCTAATTCTGTGAAGAAAGTCAATGGTAGCTTGATGAGGATAGCATTGAATCTATAAATTACTTTGGGCAGTATGGCCATTTTCACCATATTGATTCTTCCTATCCATGAGCATGGAATGTTTTTTCATTTGTTTGTGTTCTCTCTTATTTCCTTGAGCAGTGGTTTGTGGTTCTCCTTGAAGAGGTCCTTCATCTCCCTTGTAAGCTGGATTCCTAGGTATTTTATTCTCTTTGTAGCAATTGTGAATGGGAGGTCACTCATGATTTGGCTGTCTGTTTGTGTATTATTGGTGTAGAGGAATGCTTGTGATTTTTGCACATTGATTTTGTATCTTGAGACTTTGGTGAAGTTGCTTATCAGCTTAAGGAGATTTTGGGCTGAGACGATGGGGTTTTCTAAATATACAATCATGTCATCTGCAAACAGAGACAATTTGACTTCCTCAATTCTTATTTGAATATCTTTTATTTCTTTCTCTTGTCTGATTTCCCCAGCCAGAACTTCCAATACTATGTTGAATAGGAGTAATGAGAGAGGGCATCCTTGTCTTGTGCCAGTTTTCAAAAAGAGTGCTTCAAACTTTTGCCCATTGAGTATGATATTGGCTGTGGGTTTGTTATAAACAGCTCTTATTATTTTGAGATACGTTCCATCAATACCTAGTTTATTGAGAGTTTTTAGCATGAAGCAGTGTTGAATTTTATCAAAGTCCTTTTCTGCATCTATTGAGATAATCATGTGATTTTTATCATTGGTTCTGTTTATGTGATGGATTACATTTATTGATTTGCATATGTTGAACCAGTCCTGCATCCCAGGGATGAAGCCAACTTGATCGTGGTGGATAAGTGTTTTGATTTGCTGCTGATTCAGTTTGCCAGTATTTTACTGAAGCTTTCCACATCGATGTTCATCAGGGATATTGGCTGAAATTTTATTTTTTGTTGTGTGTCTGTCAGGTTTTGGTATCAGGATGATGCTGGCCTCATACAATGAGTTAGGGAGGAGTCCCTCTTTTTCTATTGATTGGAATAGTTTCAGAAGGAATGGTACCAGCTCCTCTTTGTACCTCTGGTAGAATTCGGTTGTGAATCCGTCTTGTCCTGGAATTTTTTCGGTTGGTAGGCTATTAATTACTGCCTCAATTTCAGAACTTGTTATTGGTCTATTCAGGGATTCGACTTCTTCCTGATTTAGTCTTGGGAGGGTGTATGTGTCCAGGAATTTATCCATTTCTTCTAGATTTTCTAGTTTATTTGCGTAGAGGTGTTTATAGTATTCTCTGACAGTAGTTTGTATTTCTGTGGGATCGGTGGTGATATCCCCTTTATCATTTTTTATTGTGTCTATTTTATTCTTCTCTCTTTTCTTCTTTATTAGTCTGGCTAGTGGTCTATGTATTTTGCTAATCTTTTCAAAAAAACCTGCTCCTGGATTCACTGATTTTTTGAAGGGTTTTTTTGTGTCTCTATCTCTTTCAGTTCTTCTCTGATCTTAGTGATTTCTTGTCTTCTACTAGCTTTTGAATGTGTTTGCTCTTGCTTCTCTAGTTCTTTTAATTGTGATGTTAGAGTGTGGATTTTAGATCTTTCCCACTTTCTCCTGTGGGCATTTAGTGCTATACATTTCCCTCTAAACACTGCTTTAGCTGTGTCCCAGAGATTCTGGTATGTTGTGTCTTTGTTCTCATTGGTTTCAAAGAACTTACTTATTTCTGCCTTCATTTTGTTATTTACCCAGTAGTCATTCAGGAGCATGTTGTTCAGTTTCCATGTAGTTGTGCGGTTTTGAGTGAGTTTCTTAATCCTGACTTCTAATTTGATTGCACTGTGGTGCGAGAGACTGTTTGTTATGATTTCTGTTCTTTTGCATTTGCTGAAGACTGTATTACTTCCAATTACGTGGTCAACTTTAGAATAAGTGCTATGTGGTGCTGAGAAGAATGTATATTCTATTGATTTGGGGCGGTGAGTTCTGTAGTTGTCTATTAGGTCCTCTTGGTCCAGAGCTGAGTTCAAGTCCTGAATATCCTTGTTAATTTTCTGTCTCATTGATCTGTCTAACACTGACACTGGGGTGTTAAAGTCTCCCACCATTGTTGTGTGGGACTCTAACTCTCTTTGTAGGTCTCTAAGAACTTGCTTTATGAATCTGTGTGCTCCTGTATTAGGTGCATATATATTTAGGATAGTTAGCTCTTCTTGTTGCATCAATCCCTTTACCATTATGTAATGCCCTTCTTTGTCTTTTTTTATCTTTGTTTTGGTTTAACGTGTGTTTCATCTGAGACTAGGATTGCAACCTGTTTTTTTTTTTTCCTTTCCATTTGCTTGGTAAGTCTTCCTCCATTCCTTTATTTTGAGCCTATGTGTGTCTTTGCATGTGAGATGGGTCTCTTGAATACAGCACACCAATGGGTCTTGACACTTTATACAATTTGCCACTCTGTGTCTTTTAATTGGGGCATTTAGCCTGTTTACATTTTAGGTTAGTTAGTATGGTTATGTGTGAAACTGATCCTGTCATTATGATGCTAGCTGGTTATTTTGCATGTTAGTTGATGCAGTTTTTTCATAGTGTTAATGGTCTTTACAATTTGGTATGTTTTTGCAGTGGCTGGTACGGGTTTTTCCTTTCCATATTTAGTGCTTCCTTCAGGACCTCTTGTACAGCAGGCCTGGTGGTGACAAAATCTCTCAGCATTTGCTTGTCTGTAAAGGATTCTATTTCTCCTTTGCTTATGACGCTTAATTTGGCTGGATATGAAATTCTAGGTGAAAATTCTTTTCTTTAAGAATTTTGAATATTACCCTCCCACTCTCTTATGGCTTGTAGGGTTTCTGCAGAGGGATCTGCTGTTAGTCTCATGGGCTTCTCTTTGTCAGAAACCCGACCCTTCTCTCTGGCTGCCCTTAACATTTTGTCCTTCATTTCAACCTTGGTGAATCTGACAATTATGTGTCTTGGAGTTGTTTGCTCTTCTCGAAGAGTATCTCTGTGGTGTTCTCTGTATTTCCTGAATTTGAATGTTGGCCTGTCTTGCTAGGTTAGGGAAGTTCTTCTGGATAATATCCTGAAGAGTGTTTTCCAACCTGCTTCCATTCTCCCTGTCACTTTCACGTACACCAATCAAGTGTAGATTTGGTCTTTTCACAAAGTGCCATATTTCTTGGAGGCTTTGTTCTTTCCTTTTCATTCTTTTTTCTCTCATCTTGTCTTCATGCTTTATTTCATTATGTTGATCTTCAATCTCTGATATCCTTTCTTCCACTCGATTGAGTTGGTTATTGATACTTGTGTATGCATCACGAAGTTCTTCTGATCCATCAGGTCCATCAGGTCATTATGTTCTTCTCTAAACTGATTGTTCTAGTTAGCAATTCCTCTAACCTTTTTTCAATGTTCTTAGCTTCCTTGCATTGGGTTAGAACATGCTCCTTTAGCTCAGAGGAGTTTGTTATTACCCACCTTCTGAAGCCTACTTCTGTCAATTCGTCAAACTCATTCTTCATTTAGTTTTGTTCCCTCACTGGCGAGGAGTTGTGATCCTTTGGAGGACCGTTTGGAGGAGAAGAGGCATTCTGGTTTTTGGAATTTTCAGCCTTTTTGCACTGCTTTTTCCTCATTTTCATGGATTTATCTACCTTTCATCTTTGTTGTTGGTGACCTTCGGGTGGGGTTTTTGTGTGGACATCCCTTTTGTTGATGCTGATGCTATTCCTTTCTGTTTGCTGGTTTTCCATCTAACAGTCAGGCCTCTCTGCTGCAGGTCTGCTGGAGTTTGCTGGAGGTCTACTCCAGGCCCTGTTTTCCTGGGTGTCACCTGCGGAGGCTGCAGAACAGCAAAGATTGCTGCCTGTTCCTTCCTCTGGAAGCTTCGTCCCAGAAGGGGCACCCGCCAGATGCCAGCCAGAGCTCTCCTGTATGAGGTGTCTGTTGACCCCTGCTGGGAAGTGTCTCCCAGTCAGGAGGCACGGGGGTCAGGTACCCACTTGAGGAGGCAGTCTGTCCCTTAGCAGACCTCGAGCACTGTGTTGGGTGATCTGCTGCTCTCTTCAGAGCCGGCAGGCAGGAGCGCTTAAGTCTTCTGAAGCTGCGCCTATAGCTGCCCCTTCCCCCAGGTGCTCTGTCCCAGGGAGATGGGAATTTTATCTACAAGCCTCTGACTGGGGCTGCTGCTTTCTTTCAGAGATGCCCTGCCCAGAGAGGAGGAATCTAGAGAGGCAGTGTGGCTACAGAGGGTTTGCTGAGCTGTGGTGGGCTCCCCCAGTTTGAACTTCCAGGGGGCTTTGTTTACACTGTGAGGGGAAAACTGCCTACTTAAGCCTCAGTAATGGTGGAAACCCTTCCCCCCCACCAAGCTCGAGCATCTCAGGTAGACTTCAGACTGCTTTGTTGGCAGTGAGTATTTCAAGCCAGTGAATCTTAGCTTGCTGGGCTCCATGGGGGTGGGATCCACTGAGCTAGACCACTTGGCTCCGTGGCTTCAGCCCCCTTTCCAGGGAAGTGAAAGGTTCTGTCTGGCTGGTGTTCCAGGCATCACTGGTATGAAAAAAAAAAACTCCTGCAGCTAGCTTGGTCAGTGTCTGCCCAAAGGGTCACCTAGTTTTGTGCTTGAAACTCAGGGCCCTGGTGGTGTAGAGACCCAAGGGAATATCCTGTTCTGTGAGTTGTGAAGACTATGGGAAAAGTGTAATACGTGAGCTGGAATGCACTGTTCCTCATGGCACAGTCTCTCACAGCTTCCCTTGACTAGGGGAGGGAGTTCCCCAACCCCTTGTGCTTCCTGGGTGAGGCAATGCCCCACCCTGCTTCAGCTCGCCCTCTGTGAGCTGCATACTATCTAACCAGTCCCAGTGAGATGAGCCGGGTACCTCAGTTGGAAATGCAGAAATCACCTACCTTCTGTGTCAATCTCACTGGGAGCTGCAGACTGGAGCTGTTCCTATTCGGCCATCTTGCCAGCCCAGAACCACTTCTCAATTTTCTAAACGCACAAGACCTTCAAGATTTGTCATATACTTGGTATTCTCGGCAATATCCCTGAAAGCCTTAGCCTCTGGCAATTACTCCTTTCCCAGAATTCCTTTAGTCTTCAAATTAGGTTTTATTTGGGTTGCTAGCATATGGTTGATTCTTTGCGCATTAGGTGTCTTTTAGTGTGCATGTCCTATCTTTTAGATGAGGTTATGATCCTATTTTATGCCTTTTTGGCATCATTCATTGAATACCTTTTAAATGAATGATGGGGCAGATGGGGGGATGTGCATTTCAAAAAGGTCATATAAATTTGGTGGGGTAATATTTTTGAGATATTGAGCTGTGTTTCCTCTATGTATTTACCTCTTTCTCATTTCTGTGTTCAGGCACACAGCTGTCTCTATGCTCATTATATCAGGGGAGAGAGATGACAGGGCAGAAAGCAGAAAAAGTGTGCAAGTCCTCTCTCTAGTGTGTGCTTCAGAAGCCTAAGCCCTTAGAGTTACTTAGAAGATTTTTGCGGGGGTGAAAGGTAGGAGAAGGAAAGAAATGGTGGCTCTCCCCTACTGGACCAGAGAAAGTTTTCTCTATGTTGGAGGGAGAGAATTTGATTAGAGCACAAATGTTAGCGGGCCTTGGAAAGGGGGGTCCTGTAAACTGTTTTCTTTTCCCAGACAGAGCACCAGAGAAGTGGCAAGGCAATAACTGTGAGTGGTGTCTGCACAGATGGGTCCCTACCAAACTCACCATTTCTTCTCCTTCCAGCACTGAAGCAACAAAAAGACTCCTGTGTGATGCAGAGGCTTCAGAAGGACTCAGGATCTTAAGGTAGCAAAAGACATCTTGAGGGATGTGTGCTTAGCTCAAGAACAAGATTCCACACCCTCTTTTATCTTGGTATTGTAGAAGGTTCCTGGAATGTAGATATAACCCTGGGAAAATAGGAGGACCTAACATTGACCGAGATTATGTTTTTGCCATCTCAGTGAAATGGAGCTCAAAATAGAAGTAAATTTGCATTATAGAAAAACAAAGAAAGTAATTTTTCTTGTGCATTTGACATTGTGGACTGAAATTCATACCTGGTATATAATCACAAATAAGATCAGTTATTAAGTAATATTAACAGTCTATTTGTGCATGTGGGAGAGAGTTGAGCACATTTTTCTTAGAAGGAAAAAGCAAGAGACAAGTGTGTACAAATCTTTTAGGAAAAGGTGGAATAATACTTTCTGTAGACATGGAAATAACCTTATGCAAATTCAGTTGCTTTTGAACTATAGTCCAGCATCAGTCACTTGAATTAATTGGGAACAGAACTGTTTGAATTAATGAAGCATCAGAATTTTAGACAATTTTTCAATACCTGCTGTAACGTGGGCTTGGTTGTAAAGACCATCAGTTAAAAATAGTGTGACCATGAATAGATTACTTAAAGTGTCTCAGCTTATTTTTCTCAGCACTGAAGTTGATATAATGATCCATATATTACATGATTGTTGTGCAGATTAAGTGAGACAATGCTTATGAAAGTACCCAGCATGAAGCAATCAGTCAATATACTTTAGTTTCTTTTCCTGAATATGAAATGATGGAAATGCACTGGTTTCTCTGAAAGCCCAAACTAAACCTCAGATAACAATAATGATATAAGTGCTAGGAACAAAGGATTTATACTACAAACAGGAAATTGGAAACCAAGGTCATGTATTTTGAGCTCTGAACCCATCATTTAGCCTACTGCTATTTTTCTGATTTTTCTGATATTTTTCATTCTACATCTGACCCTGTTTAATCAATTTGGAAGAAATTGATTACATTTTAACTAAAAAATGCATAATCTGTTTTTAAATTTAAATAATGTAAAGAAAACCACCAACTAGCTTCCACTCTATTTGTAAAAGTTTCACCCACAGGGTTAAATGTCAGGGTTTCTGCTTGTTTTGCCGTGACCTAATCACATCTGCTCTTAACGTAGCTGAGTGTGTGTGACATTTAACAACTCACTTTTAAAAAATCTTACCATAAAGAGAACTGTTATAGAGGGGACTACTTGACAGTCTGTGATGAGTGTAGCCTTGTATTCACAAGCTCCAAAAACTCTATGAATAAAACAAGTTTTAGAAAGGAAAAAAATTATGGTGATGTCTATGAGGCTAATGTCTTTGTTAAGAGAATTAGGTTCAGGAAATGCAGGACTATTAGAAAGGTTAAATCTCATATTTCTGAATTATGAGTGACACAATCAAGGCAATTCAATAATAGCTACTATTTATTACATGTCTACTGTGTGCCTGGTGCTAAAATATATATAATTGGAGGAGTATATTTCGTCAGGAAGATAAATCCTTGTTTTATTCCTCTTCAATTTAGAGTAAATGGCTTGATAGCATCTATAAATGTACAGGAAACTGGTAATTGCAAAGCTTATGCAGGATGTTTGTGGAACCATTGCTAGGTGGATAATAAGTCTAATTGCTCCCCTTCTCCCCGTCTTAGGTCTCACATGGCCTTCTTCTGTTGTGGGCAGAGATCCATGCAGAATATGTTTCATTTAGGAAAATTTTTTTCTTACTCAGATTGGATCTAGATTGTCTGTGTATAGTATGTTCATATATATACACACACTCACACATATATATGAATATGTATATATATGTACAGGCATACCTTGAAGATATTGTGGGCTCACTTCCAGGCCAACAAAATAAAGCAAATATTGCAATAAAGTGAGTCACACACATTTTTGGTTTTCTAGTGCATATAAATGTTGTGTTTACACTATACTATAGTTAATTAGGGGTACAATAGCATTATGTCTAAAAAATGTACACACCTTAGTTTAAAAATACTTTATTGCTAAAAAATGCTGACACAGAGACATGAAGTGAGTACATGCCGTTGAAAAAAATGGCACTACAGAATTGCTCAAAAAAAAGGTTTCCACAAACCTTCAATTTGAAAAAAATGCAGTATTTGCAAAGTGCAATAAAACAAGGCATACCTGTATAAGGTAAGTCTTGGGTATGCATACACACACACACACACACGCACACACACACATAGGGTTATAACTGATACAGTACTGAGTACTGAAATACTGAAATATGGCAGAGATAGCCCTTTATAGAAGTTGTCCTATTATGTATCCTACTAGCAATATATGGCAGTGTTGGCTTCCCTACGGCTTTTCCCTCTCTTCCCCCTTGAACTCTTTCTAATCAGGATTCTGTGTGAAAGGACCACATTTTAAAAAGTCTTGGAAGCAATAGGAAATATATTATATTGAAGTCCTTTAAATAATTCAGTGTGGTTGAAGTATCATATGGAGAGGAGCCAGAAAGGCAAATGTAAACACAGGTGTAAAGATGAGGTTAAAGGCAAGAAATTAGGCAGGATAGGTATGCATGCATACATACACGTACATATAGAGCAACTTCAAATAATTGAATATGATGAGTGTAGCATGTGGGTTTTTGGGGATTGGAGAGGTGAGTAGTGTGTATTTGGTTTTCTTTTATCTTCTGGATGTCCAGAATGATTCCTCATTCTAATTTTTTCATGGGCAGGAAGATCTTGGTGGGGATTGGAGGGACCAAGTTTGGAGAACAAAAGGCCACCCAGACCGTGGTGCTGAAGGTCCAGGAGGATGGGTCCATGGAGCAAGTAGGAAGGCTAGGAGCTGGAAATACTTAAAATGGGAACTCTTTGAAGAAGCTAATTATTTGTAGTGCTTGTCTCTTGGGCTATGGAAACAGTCATATGAAGAGCATAGTTTTAGATCTTTACCCTTCCATGTTGGAATTCTCTTTAGTTACTCTCAACTCCTCAGTAAAGACTCACCTCCACTACCTTGGGTGGTGGAGATATGAGGAGTAAAGGAATAGAGTGGTAAAAAGAAATGTGAATTACCACACATTGACCCCCCGATGATACCCATTTGTAGGGAGCAACATGGTATATAGTGGGTGACAGTATCCAAGCATTTCTAGAGGTAGTGAACATCTAAAAAAGAAATGGCCCATGGTTTGGCAGGAAAGAGCTGCTGCAAGGTGGGAAATTCAGAAGCAGATGTGAGAGAATCCCTCTTTCAGTATATACTAGAAGAAGGTGATCCTTGCAAGGGAGAAGACTGACTTGAGTTTCACACAAATCATTATTTTCCCAGGAAACCTGTGTGATAGCTATTATTCTCCCCATTTTATGTACTAGAAAATTAAAATTAAATTTTTTTTGTTCTTATGCTGCAAATAATGATAGTAATAATAGCTATCATTTATTATATATGTACTATATGCCAGGCCCTCTGCAATTTCCTTTACATCATTATTATGGAAACATTGCTGCAAGGAAATAATTGTTTTCTCAATTGTTTTAGGTGTCAACTTAACTGGATTAAGGAATACCTAGGAACCTGGTAAATCATTATTTTTGGGGGTCTCTACCAGCACGTTTTCAGAGGAGATTAGCCTGTGAGTCTGAGTGAACTAGATAGGGAAGCTCTGCTCTCAATGTGAGTGGGTACTGTCCTCTCTGCTGGGGGCATGGAGACAACAAAAACAGAAAAGGTGAATGTGTTGATCTTCCTGTGGGAATGGGGATACACTCTTCCTCTCCTGTCCTTGGACAACAACTCCAGTCTGCCTAGCCTTTGAACTCCAGGACTTACACGAGTGGTCCCCCAGGTTTGACTTTGGACTGAGAGGTATACCATTGGCTTCCCTGATTCTGAGGACTTTGCACTTGCACTGAGACGACTACCAGCACCCCAGGGTCTTCAGCTTGCAGATGGCCTGTTCCGAGACTTCTCAGCCTCCATAATCACATGAGCCAATTCCCCTGATAAACCTCCTCTTCTCTCTCTCTCTCTCTCTCTAGAGATAAATAGATAGATCTCTTATTGATTTTGTCTCTTTGGAGAACCCTAACTAATATACTCAGAGAGTAAATAATATACTCAAGGTCATGGAGGTAACAACTGGTTAAACTTGGGCTAGAATCCAAGATTTATGGACCCCAGAGTTATGCTGATTCCTGATCCCTTTGTATCATAGAGATTAGAGACAATAGAGACGATTAGGGATGAGCTTCCCCTATTTCACTCTCTTGCTTTTTCTACACTTACTTATATCCCTACATTCTTATAATGTCTGTTCTTCCTTCTCTCTGAGGTTATCTTATCCAAGTATCATTTGAATTCCATCTCTTCCTGCCTCGTTGGCATATTTCCCTGGCAATGATCTTCTTTCTCTCCTAATCTTACAACTATGAGCATAAAAATGAACTCTTTACTCAACCTTCTCTCTCTTTCAAGCTGCTCTTTCTTTTCAAAGAGAAATCTATTCACTGTATCCATGTTCTATTCACTTGTCAATTCACTTCAGTGAAGCACTCACCAAGGTTATCATGGACCTCCTGGTTACCAAATCTAGTGGCCTCTTTTCAGTCTCCATTTCTCTAAACCTTCATGCAGCTTGAAATTTTCTCCTTCTTTGACATCCATGATGGCAGATATCCTTCTACTTTGCTTAACATTTCTCGTTAGTCTCATTCAATGGCTCTTTTTTCCCCTGCCCACCACTTACGTGTAGATGTTCTTCAGGGTTTAATCCTCTATACTAATCTGTTTTCCCCTGAGATGAGGTTTTTTCCATCCTATGACTGTGACTTAAAAACTAAATAAAACTTTCTTCCTGAGTTTCAGAACTGTATTGGATACTGGAATTGTTCTAAAGCTTAGTTTAAAAAGAATGCTTTCCTAAAAATCTTTCTTCTAACTTCCCCAACTGGATGTACTTTCTCTTCCTTTCAAATTCCTACAAGATTTCGCCCTTACCTCTTAGCTGACATGCATTGTATCAAACTTTGTCTGGCGGCTGTTGGTGTGCTTGTCATACTCCTTCTAGTAGATTGTAAACTCCTGGAGGACCAGAACTTTGCCTTTCTTATTACATTTTTTTTAGAACATAATACAGTGCCATGGACACGATAGAGGATCTATATTTATTGAATCCAATTGAATCTATTTTCTACCATTTGATCATTTTCTTTGATACTGTCTTCTGAAATTTCTGTGATCCAGGGCCTTTTTGAGCTGTTCACTCCAATTTGACAGTGACAAGGCCAACCTCCTCACCAAGCTGCTGCAGTTTGAGGATCAACTGCAGAGGATGCCATCAAACAACAATTCTTCCTTAGTCTGGAAGGAGTGGATCCACAAACTCGTGATCCTCTTCTATATTTGCATTATATGATATCCAGTTACAAAAAAAGGCCAGCCTGACTCAGGCAGGCCATTTTCCCACATGGTGGACATGGAGTTCTGAAGGGATTCCTCAGCTCTCACAGGGAAGCCTCCAGCTGCACCTCTCTTGCTTGCTGGCTGCCTACCTGCCTGGCCCATGCTCACCTGCCCACATTTCCCTTGTTGCCTGCCTGAACACTGGACCATTGGCCTGTTGGTCCCAAACACTGGCCTGTCTGCTGGATGTTAACAAAGGTCTCATCACTCCTTAAAAGAAAAAAGGTAGGTTGATGGTTACTTGTCCTCCGATACAAAAGGCTTGTATTTTTTAATTTCCCTGCCACTACTCTTTACTCATTATTTCCTCAGTGTGAACATAACATAATGCATAATTTTAATATTTTATTTGCTGAATTCCTACTCGTAATATGTGTGTCTTGGTCTAGATTTCTTATCCTTGAATATGCTGTGGATTTCCAGAAGATAGAGATGAGTTTTCTGGCTCAATCTGATTAATTTTTCTCTTAGCATCATGTGAAATGTGCACTTAATAAGCAAAAATGCCTTTGATGATGATTTAACACCATCTACTGGTCTTTGATCTGAATACATCAGTCTTTAAAATTTATGGTGATTTATAAGTGGTACAACTATAGCCTGCATTCTCATGATCTCAACCAAACTGGTGTGACTTTCAGGCAGTAACTGACAGATGTCTTTCATCATATTGAGAACTTAGAAGGAGTGCACTGAGTCAAACATAATCACAATGTAACAAAGCAAAATATATGTGCCTTCAGGATGGCAGTGACAACATGCTCTTTCAAAGGAAGCAGGGGTTGCACCTGGACGAGGGGTTAAGCAGAGACTTCATGAAAAAATTTTGACATGATAAAATCATTTGTGGTTTAGCTGGGGTTCTCTTGGCTGAAGTGTGGAAGGTGAATCAGAAAAGGACAAGAATTAAAACAGAGATACCAATGAGATAGAAAAAAAATTAAAACGCAACCCCTGATATCTAGAAACTGGCTTAGCACTCACAGCTAGGCCATGTTATTCTCCTGTTGGACATTTTAAAACCCCACAGAACCCCAACACCCCACACAGTTACTCTGAGGCCATGATATAGTGAAACAAAACAAGACCACTTCATATTTTGTCTCAGCACAGACAAAACCAAGGTCACTCTGCCCCCCACAATATATCAAATATCTTCCTCTCTCTGCTGAAATGAGTGATTGTTACTTCTTTACCAATTACAGATTTATCACTGCTCTAGTATGTCCTCCATATAGATAAGATTTATTGAGATACCCAATGATAAAATTGCTCCCATTTCTTGATAGTATCCAATCCAAGGTGAGGTCTTGCTCCTTAGACCAACTAAAGCCCAAATCTTATAACTGGTTCTTTTAACTTCTTCTTACTAAGATAACCTATGCTTCTCCACGGTGTGTGCTCTCCCTCACTGCAATGAGTAATAAACCCAACTTGTTTAACTATAGATGCGTTTCTGGAGTCCTTGGCTAGAGGTTATTGACGCTAACAAGGGGACAGTAGCAGTACATGTAAGCAATGGCGAGGGCATGAAATAAACAGTGGTACCAGGGATTGAGAAGAGTGTGCAGATTGTGGAATAATTTCAAAGGCAAAATCACTAGTACTTGACTAGTTAGAGTTGGAAGTTGAAAGAATGGGACGGTCCTAGGCAAAGACTTAGTCTGTACTGTGAGTATGTAGGTGAATAGTGACGGTATTCATGAAAATTGGGAAAACAAAGAGGGGACCTTTTAGGGGGAATATTATGAATATTTGTAATGAGAGTGCCTGTGAGACATCCAGGTAGAGAGGTCCAGCAGACAGTTGGGCAAATGGGTTTGAAGATAGGAAAGGTCTGACCTAGTAGTTAAATGCAAAAGAGGGGATGAGATCATCCTGAAAATATGTGGAAAGTGAGAAGAGCATTTGGCTAAGAGTTAAACCTTGAGATTTATCAACATTTAAGGAGTAGGCAGAGGAAAAGGAGATTTTAAAAAAGAGAACCAGCAGAGATGCGTGTCATGAAAGCAAGGGAGTTAAGGGTTTTAAAAAGTGGGAAGCCATGAACAGCATCAAATGCAGTTGAGAGATCAAGTCTGTTAGGTTTGGAAATTATGAAATCATTGGTGAACAGAGGGAGGAAGAGCAGTTTAAGAGGAAGAGTGAGTATATACGCAGACAGGAGTGGGTTGGGGAATAAATGAAAAGTGAAGACTTGGAGGCAGTGAGTGTGAAGAACTCTTGAGATTTCAAAGAAAAGCAGGTCAGGTGGAAGCTAGATACAGATGTGGAGTCAACAGGTGAAAAAGAATGAGATTAAAATACCACTAGAAAGTCTGTTTTGTTCACTGATACATCATTGGTGACTACAAGCATGCCTAGCACATATTTAGGTATTCAACAAATATGGGTTGAACAAATGAATGATGGGATAATTGGCAGGGAAATTTCTAGAAGATGTAGAAGGGGTTAAAGTCAAGGGACTAAATAGTAAGGCTGTTGTTAACCAGAGGAGTTTTGTGTCTTCTTCTGTAGTGAATTCAGAGACACCATCCCATTTGTATTAGTCCATTCTCACCTTACTATAAATAACTGCCCGAGACTGGGTAATTTAAAAGGAAAGAGGTTTCATTGACTCACAGTTCTGCCTGGCTGAGGAAGCCTCAGGAAACTTACAATCATGGTGGAAGGGGAAGCAACATGTTTTTCTTCACAAGGCAGCAGGGGAGAGAAGTGCAGAGCAAAGGGGGAAGAGTCCCTTACAAAGCCATCAGATCTCATGAGAACTCATACACTATCATGAGAACCACCCCCATGATCCAGTCACCTCCCACCAGGTCCCTCCCCCAACATGTGAGGATTACAATTAGGGTTACAATTCAAGATGAGATTTTGGTGGGGCCGCAGAGCCAGACCATATCACCGTTTAATCTTAGTGTATTTAACTAGAACCGCTTGACATTTTCTGTTATCATATTCACTTTCCATGTAGCTCAAAACTTTGAATAATATTATCACCATAGATTTCTTTTGGTAATAGTAAAAAAAAAACATTATCATTTAGAGAAAGTTTGGGAATTTATGTATTTCGAATTGTAATAAACATCTTTATTGTTTCCCTTGTGCAACATTTTCTACTTATAATACTGTTCTGATTTTGTAATTGAGTTTAATTAAGAACTTTATGACAATCTGCATTTGCCACTAATCAACTGGGTTGTCCCAGAGTGTACTGCTTTCCCCATTACTGGAGTGTTGCTCATGAGGAAGCAAGCTGACCCCAAGTTTGGGATAAAGTAGTTGGAATCCAGTCACCATATGAGTTGAATCAGATAACTTCTAAAGGTCCATTGTAAAGATCTTTAGAGCTTCTAAGATTTTGCTGCTTTGTTGCCAAATTTTAAAATCAATTAATCAATTGTGTTCCCAATGTTGTCATCTCATATTTTAGGCTGTTTGAATCAAAACTTTTGATATTGGAAAACAAATTTTAGACTTTGGCAACCATGTTTTATGCAAGGAAGTTTATATTTTGACAAGTAATATAAATAGATTTTTTCTAAAAATGGGGGGAGAGAGAGAGATGGAGAGACAGAGAGAGACACCACTATTAAACTCCATTTGCTTTTTACTGAAAATTGGGATTCCATCTCTCCACTAATACTCAGAAGCTCCAGACTGATTAGGGATTTTTTTTTTGTTAACAAATAGTCAATGTCAGGAAGATATACATATATGTATTCCAGTGGAGCATAAAACTGTGGCTGTTCTCTAGAGGCAACTGAAGATTTATTGTTTTGGGAGCCTGCTTTGTCAATTCCACTAGATAGTGTTAC